>NC_000003.12:163402543-163705574 GCF_000001405.40 Homo sapiens | reverse complement strand
TTTAACCTCCCAAAATTTCATGAGTGAAGTACATGGCCCAAATTATTGAAATTTATCCTTTAAAGTGGGATATTTAGTGTCTCTTTGCCATTAGCTATGAATCATAATCACCAGTCAACATGCTTTACACATCTATCAGTTCCTACACTGGCATACCATGTTTATGTTTATGTGTATGATATGTGGCTTAATAACTTATCAGTTGATTACCTATTCTACTGGATCAATGAGCATTTGTTGATGCTAGAGGTTCCCCACTGCAAAGAAAAGTGCTGATATAAGCTTAGCTACCTGAACAAGCAGTCAATGAGAGGCTACTTTCCACTGTGGAAGTGGCACACGTGCACTCAATGCATCTGGAAAAAAAGCCATATGAAAAAATGATACGTGGGCTGTATTTTGGTTAGAGAAGTTTTAAGGGTTATTGGTTAGTCCCTCATATAGGAGTTTTATGACAAATAAAATAAATTGCTATTGATAAAAAAATTTTTAAAGCAATATTTAGATTATTGAATGTGAATTACTTTAAAATATGCTTTTGTCTGAATAGAACTCAGTATTTAGTAAGACTAAATTTAAATAAAATGTAAGATAACATATTTATATGTCAAATATATATAATTATTAAAAATAAAGCAGAAAATTTAAGAATCATTTATTGGATAGCAAGCATATTCTTACTTGAGAATCTTCATTTCTGCTGCAGAACAAATATCATAGCACTGCTTTTTGGAAATGATCTAACAATTACTGATGTTTCTTAATGTAAGTTACAGAATACAACTTTGAAAAAAGAACCATATTTTGAGAAAAAAGTGTTTGTTTTTGTTCTCAGAGGATACGAGATTACTCATTTTATTTCAGTAAATTTAAGTCACTTTGAGTAGGCAAAAAGGTAGAAAATAAGCAAATAGAGTTGAAATTATGTATTTCAGAACTGAATTACCTTGAAGGCACCTGTTGACATTGGACCTACAGTTTTGAATTCCACTTTCTCAAATGTACAAGTACACACACACAAACTTTGAATAATACATTTTTGTTTTGAATTTCTAATGAAGTTAGAAATTAGAAAAAAATACACTTTTCATTAGAAAATATTATTAGAAAAAAATATACACTTTTATTTCACAGAATGAGAGATGACTTATCTTAAAAATATATTAAGTATCCAGAAAGTTGTACTAATTACTATTGAAATTGCTATGTACCACAACAGACAATAGATAGATAACAGCCCTTTTAATGTTAGAGGCACTTTTATAGTATTAATGTTATTACAAAATGTTTGATTAATGATTTAAAATAGGGAGTACTTAGATAATAGACTCCTTTTTTTCTATCTCCCTATGTAGTAAATTATACAGATAAGATCTTTTCAAATAAACTGTGAATAATTATTTGAAAAATTGTATATAACTCTCATAAAACTAATTTTAACAATGATTAAAATTCCACTCATGAAACATCAACTGAAAGTAACTTAATTATTACCCTATGTACATGTGAAAATGACATACAAAATAAAATTATGCTGGGGCATAAATCTCTAATTCTGAATATATATTAATACAACTATTAAAGAATGTATACATATGTCTGAATTGAATCTAGAGCTAATTCTTTTTAAGAACAACACATAAGTATTCTGTGAATTGAAAGTATTTTTTCAGCAAATATCTCTAAAAAGATTATTTTACTTGGGTTTAAAAACACTAAATTTAAATTACTTTGAATAGTTCTTACCTTGCAAAAGTAAAGCTATGCTACACTACAGCTTCAGTTCATATAGGGTAAAGGTTTTGACAATTCTAGGAAAATGAAATAAAGTTAGGTGAAGATTGATTACAGCATGAGCCAGAATTAAGGTACAAGTAGGTAAAGGTAAGAATGATTGCTGATTATGTGTAAGCCTAATAGCATCTTAAGAATATAGACAAAACATGTTAGAAAACAAGTTTTAGCTCAAGAATGAGTAATATTTTAGCCTTGGTAGCAAAGCTAACTTCTGAGTTAAAGAGACAGATTGTTAGTGCAGTTGTCAGCATAGACATCCATCTGGAATTGTTTTTCTCTCTTGTTTTTTAGTTCTTCTATTAAAAAAAAAAGTTCTCTCTTTGTTGAACAATTGAAAAAAAAACCATGAAGCTAACATAAATGTGCTTCCAGATTATTTGTTGGCATTAAAGTTGTGTCTGACATTTAAGCAAATCACCTAATTAGCCTCTGTCTATGTTTATTAATATATGAAGCAGATCTTATAAATGTTATATTCCTGGTTACAAAATGGATGAGTTTTAATGATGTTAATATTAAAGGAGATTTTTATAGTATATAATTTGTTATAATATTTTGAGTTGATGATTTAAAAACATAACTATATTTGTAAAAAGATAAACTAATGGAAAAAACTAACCTAGAGTCAAAGTTTAGACTTTTTAAAATGGTTATACTTTTTAAGCACAAAATATAATAAATTGTGAAATTTGTTTAGTGTATTGTGCTTACCTTTCATAATGATATACAATTCAAATCTATATTTAATTTCATATTGTACAAGTTAGCACACAACACACTCCTACATACAAAAAAAGTGAATGCAGACATCTCTCCATAATGAAACTTTGTAATATGAAATTTTAAAGTGATAATACTTACTCTTCCATAATATTTATCAATTTAAATAAGACTGGTTGAAATATATGTACAGTCATACACAGGTTAACATCATGGATACATTCTGACAAGTGTGTCTTTAGGCAATTTATTAATAGTTGCAGCAACATCATAGAGCATACTTACACAAACCTAGATGGTATAGCTTAATACAAACCTAGGCTATGTGGTGTGTATATGCTGCTAGGTTATGATAGCATGTCACTATGTCACTTTACTGAATACTGTAGGTAACTGCAACACAATGCAATAAGTATTTGTGAATCTAAATATACCTAAGCATTGAAAAGTTACAGTAACAATACAGTATGAAAGATAAAAATGGTACACCTTAATAGGTATACCTATACCTACCAGGATTAGAGCTTGCAGGAATGGAAGCTCTGCTAAATCAATGAGTGGGTGGCGAGTGAATGCGAAAGCCTAGAATATTACAGTATATTACTATAGGCATTATTAACACTGTATACTTGAGCTGTACTACATTTATAAAAAGTTTGTCTTACTTCAATAATAAATTTTTTAGCTTACTGTAAGGTTTTACTTTACAGACTTCTTAATATTTTTAACTTTTTGACTCTTTTGTAATGAAACAGTTTAAAACACAAACACATACTGTACAAAATATTTGTACTATACAGAAATATTTTCTATTTTATATTCTATGAGCTTTTTTCTCTTTACAAAATTTTCTATTTGTCAAGGGCTTTTTTTATTCTTACTTTGTACACTTCCTTTGTGAAAAACTAAAACTCAAACACACACATTAGCTCAGGCCTACATGGGGTCAGGATAATCAATATCACTGTCTTTCTTTCACCTCCACATCTGGTCCCACTGGAAGGTCTTCAGGGCTAACAACATGCATAGAGCTGTCCTATCCACTAACAATTACTTCTTCCAGAATACCTCCTGAAGAACCTGCCTAAGGCTATTATATAGTTACCTTACTTTTATAAGTAGAAATGATACAATCTAAAAAAGCAATAAACAGTCTAGTATAGTAAATACATAAATAGTAACATAGTCATTCATTATCTTCATGTATGTCCTGTATATAATTGTATGTGCTATATTTTTTTATGCTTGAAAGTGCAGTAGGTTTGTTTACACCAACATCAACACAAACATGTGAGTAATGCCTTGTGCTATGTTATGACAGCTATGATGTTATTAGGGGAGAGAAAATTTTCAGCTCCATTATTATCTGACAGGACTACATAGTGTGTGCTATTTTTTGTTGACCAAAACATTGCTATGAGGCACATGACTACACATAATGAGTCCTTCTTTTTGATATTAACCCAAAAGGGAGTTGGGAAGTTATAAAGAGAAATGCAAAGTTGAAAACTAGGCCAGACAAGAAGTTTTTGTAGGTTCACCATTGAAGCATTACAGAAAAGTGATGTACAACAAATGAAAACCTTAAAACTCTCTAGTATGACAGCCAAGAAGGTAGGAGAAAGAGCCCAGTGTTAAAAGCTTATTTGTAATATGGGTAGAGATAAAGCTGTTTTATCATGCACATTGAGAAAAAGCGTAAGTAGCTACCCAGTAGTATACAAGAAGTAAACCTTAACTTGTAAATCTTTGTGAGGTTAGAGAGTCCCACGTTAGAATACAGAATTTGACAAAATAATACAACTTTTTAAGAAATACGTGAAACAATATCATTGAAAAAGGTGGGAAAAAAGCAGTGCTGTCCTAAGTGACTTTGGAAATGAGTGGAGTCTGTAAGACTATGGGCAAAAATAACTGAATTGTAGTTGGTAATTTTTTTTTTTTCTGCGGGGGTAGAGTTTAAAGATTTTGAAATGACTCTACATGTATACTGGAATTTAACAATAAAGTGAGTGGCTGGCAGATGGTGGTGAGAGACACAACTAGCTGGATTTCCTAGGCCGACTAAGAATTCCTAAGCCTAGCTGGGGAAGGTGACCACACCCACCTTCAGACTTTCACTTCCTCTCCAACGTATTAGAGCAAGTTGTATCTCCAAAGGGATCTAAGGAAGTTCTATGCTGTGTCCTTGGGCATCTAGGCTATGAACCCAGGGAGTCTTGCCCGTGGTGTCCCTCCCAATTTAGATATACAGCTCTCGACATGGGCAGTTATGTGGGACCCGTTCCCCACCATCCTTGCCAGGGACCCAAGTTTGTAAATGGCTAGGAGGATTGCTCTCCCGTTGTGTAAATTGCTCTCCTCCCCAGATTTCTACCCAGCTTACCCCACCTGCAATACAATCTCCAAGCCTTGGCTCCTTGGCCAGGGCCTTAGAACTGATGACCCAGTACTTTAACAACTGGAACTGTGTCTACAACAACACAATAGATCGGGATAAAAAGGAATTGAGTAAATTAAAAGGAGGCGCATATTCCTATAGTGGCAAATGGGGGCAACAAGCAAATGTCCTTCCGCTGTGTTTCCAAAATCCATCCACAGAGAGAGACAGAGATAGAGAGAGACAGAGATAGAGAGAGAGAGAAAAAAAGAAAGAGAGACAGAAAAAAAAGAAAGGAAGAGAGAGAGGAAGAGACAGAGAGACACAGAGGGAGTCCAAGAGAGAGAGATAGAAGTAGTAAAGAGAAAACAGTGTACCCTATTCCTTTTAAAGCAAGGTAAATTTAGAACCTATAATTAGTAATTGAAGGTCTTCTCCGTGACCCTATAATATTCCAATACCAACTTGTTGTCAGTGTAAAAAAGGGCGTAGCCCGAAGACCACTGACAACCCATAGTCTTCCTATCAAAAATTCTTAACCCAGTAACCCACGGATGGCCCAAATGCATTTAATCTGTAGTGGCAACTGCTTTGCTAAGAGAAGAAAGTCGAAAAATAACCTTTAGAGGAAACCTCATCGTGAGCACAATTCACCAGAAGTATCCTAAGTAAAAAAAGCAAAAAGGTAGCTTACTAACTCAAAAATCTTGAAGTATAGGGCTATTCTGTTAGAAAAAGGTAATTTAATGTTAACCACTGAAAATTCCCTTAACCCAGCAGATTCCTAACAGGGGATTTAAATATTAATTACCACACGAAGGTCCAAGCAGACCTAGGAGGAACTCCCTTCAGGACAGGACCGTAGAAGGTTCCTCCCAGGTGACTGAAAGAAAAAAAAAAAATGGGTATTCAGTAATTGATACGGAAACTCCTGTAAAAGCAGAGTTAGGAAAATTGCCTAATAATTGGTCTGCTCAAACGTTCAAGCTGTTTGAACTCAGCCAAGCCTTAAAGTACTTACAAAACCAGCAAGCACATCTTTTTCTCCTCACTCTCCTTCTCATAGGAAAAAGGCACATAGGATAAACAGGATCCATCTCCCATATTTTGTACCCAAAAGGACTTAATCCAGGGCAACAAAAGGCTTAAGATTGATAATTAGAGCATATTTCTACAAAGGAAAAGAAGGACAAAAGACCCTAGTGGGCAAAAACTCTATATCAATCCCAACTCAAAAGGTTACCTACACCCTCTCTGGAATGAATTTGCATAAGTACTGTTGTTTATGGGAATGCATCTAATGAGGCAACTGGGTTGTTTTGAAATACCTAGGAGCCCAGTCCAGCTCTAGAACTCACCCATGAGTGCAAAGGCAATGTTGGGCACGCTTGCAAAGGATAACTAGAATCCAGCAGCCCGGACCCCTTTGTGGTCAAGAAAGGCAGGTCAACACGTGCAGGACAGCTACATGGGTGAGTGTAATGAATCCGATAAACAGAGGTCCATGGGTGGTTACGCACCCTGGAAAGGAATAAGCATTAGGACCATAGTGGAAACTCTAGGACTAATGCTCATGGGAAAATGACTAGGGGAGCTGGCATCCGTATGTTCTTTTTTCAGATGGGAAACGTTCCCCCAAGGCAAAAACGCCCCTAAGATGTATTCTGGAGAGATATAATGTTACTGCTCGATCAGACACTAACCACAAATGAGAGAAGTGCCTCCGTAACTGCAGCGCGAGAGTTTGGCGATCTCTGGTATCTTAGTCAGGTCAGTGATAGAATGACAACAGAGGAAAGAGAACGATTCCCCACAGGCCAGCAGGCAGTTCCCAGTGCTGACCCACACTGGGACACAGAATCAGAACATGGAGATTGGTGCCACAGACATTTGCTAACTTGAGTGCTAGAAGGACTTAGGAAAACTAGGAAGAAGGCTATAAATTATTCAATGATGTCCACTATAACACAGGGAAAGGAAGAACATCCTACCGCCTTTCTGGAGAGACTAAGGGAGGCATTGAGGAAGCATACCTCTCTGTCACCTGACTCTATTGAAGGCCAACTAATCTTAAAGGACAAGTTTATCACTCAGTCAGCTGCAGAGATTAGAAAAAAACTTCAAAAGTCTGCCTTAGGCCCAGAGCAAAACTTAGAAACCCTGTTGAACTTAGCAACATCCGTTTTTTATAAGAGAGATCAGGAGGAGCAGGTGGAACAGGACAAACAGGATTTAAAAAAAAAAAAGGCCACCACTTTAGTCATGGCCCTCAGGCAAGCAGATTTTGGAGGCTTTGGAAAAGGGAAAGCCTGGGCAAACAGAACGCCCGATAGGGCTTGCTTCCAGTGTGGTCTACAAGGACACTTTAAAAAAGATTGTCCGAATAGAAATAAGCTGCCCCCTCGTCCATGTCCCTCATGACAATGGAATCACTGGAAGGCCCACTGCCCCAGAGGACAATGGTCCTCTGAGTCAGAAGCCACTAACCAGATGATCCAGCAGCAGGACTGAGGGTGCCCAGGGCAAGCACCAGCCCATGCCATCACTCTCACAGAGCGCCGGCTATGCTTGACCATTGAGGACCAGGAGGTTAACTGTCTCCTGGACACTGGCACAGCCTTCTCAGTCTTACTCTCCTGTCCCGGACAACTGTCCTCCAGGTCTGTCACTGTCTGAGGGGTCCTAGGACAGGCAGTCACTAGATACTTCTCCCAGCCACTAAGTTGTGACTGGGGAACTTTTCTCTTTCACATGCCTTTCAAATTTTGTCTGAAAGCCCTGCTCCTTTGTTAGGGAGAGACATTCTAGCAAAAGCAGGGGCCATTATACATCTGAACATAGGAGAAGGATCACCTGCTTGTTGTCCTCTACTTGAGAAAGGAATTAATCCTGATGTCTGGGCAACAGAAGGACAGTATGGATGAACAAAGGATGCCCATCCCGTTCATGTTAAACTAAAGGATTCCACCTCCTTTCCCTACCAAAGGCAGTACCCCCTTAGACCTGAGGCCCAACAAGGACTCCAAAACATTGTTAAGGACCTAAAAAAAGCCCAAGGCCTAGTAAAACCATGGAATAGCCCCTGCAATACTCCAATTTTAGGAGTACAGAAACCCAACAGACAGTAGAGGTTAGTGCAAGATCTCAGGATTATCAATGAGGCCATTGTCCCTCTATACCCAGCTGTACCTAACCCTTATACTCTGCTTTCCCAAATGCCAGAGGAGGCAGAGTGGTTTATAGTCCTGGACCTTAAGGATGTCTTTTTCTGCATTCCTGTACATCCTGACTCTCAATTCTTGTTTGCCTTTGGAGATCCTTCTAACCCAATGTCTCAACTCACCTGGAATGTTTTACCCCAAGGGTTCAGGGATAGCCCTCATCTATTCGGCCAGGCATCAACCCAAGCCCAACACTTGAGCCAGTTCTCATACTTGAACACTCATGTTGTTTGGTACATGGATGATTTACATCTAGCCGCCCCTGCAGAAGCCTTGTGCCATCAAGCCACCCAAGTGCTTTTAAACTTCCTCACCACTTGTGGCTACAAGGTTTCCAAACCAAAGTCTCAGCTCTACTTATAGCAGGTTAAATACTTAGGGTTAAAATTATCCAAAGGCACCAGGGCCCTCAGCGAGGAATGTATCCATCCTATACTGGCTTATCCTGATCCCAAAACCCTGAAGCAATTAAGAGGTTTCCATGGCATAACAAGCTTCTGCCAAATACGGATTCCCAGGTACAGCGAAAGAGCCAGGCCATTATACACACTAATTAAGGAAACTCAGAAAGCCAATACTCATTTAGTAGAATGGACACCTGAAGCAGAAACAGCTTTTCAGGCCCTAAAGAAGCCTTAACCCAAGCCCCAGTGTTAAGCTTGCCAATGGGGCAAGACTTTTCTTTATATGTCACAGAAAAAAACAGAAATAGCTCTAGGACTCCTTACACACGTCCAAGGGACCAGCTCGCAACCCGTGGCATAGCTGAGTAAGGAAATTGATGTAGTGGAAAAGGGTTAGCCTCATTGTTTATGGGCAGTGGCAGCAGTAGCAGTCTTAGTATCTGAAGCAGTTAAAATAATACAGGGAAGAGATCTTACCATGTGGACATCTCATGATGTGAATGGCATACTCACTGCTAAAGGAGACTTGTGGCCGTCAGACAACATTTGCTTAAATATCAGGCCCTATTACTTGAAGGACCAGTGCTGCGACTGCTCACTTGTGCAACTCTTAACCCAGCCACATTTCTTCCAGACAATGAAGTAAAGATGGAACATAACCGTCAACAATTGCTCAAACCTACACTGCTCGAGGGGACCTTCTAAAGGTTGCCCTGACTGATCCCGACCTCAACTTGTATACTGATGGAAGCTCCTTTGTAGAAAAAGGACTTTGAAAGGCAGGGTATGCAGTGGTCAGTGATAATGGAATAAATACTTGAAAGTAAGCCCCTCACTCCAGGAACTAGCGCTCAGCTGGCAGAACTAATAGCCCTCACTCGGGCACTAGAATTAGGAGAAGGAAAGAGGAAAAATATATATATACAGACTCTAAGAATTCTTACCTAGTCCTCCATGCCCATGCAGCAATATGGAGAGAAAGGGAATTCCTAACTTCCGAGGGAACATCTATCAAACATCAGGAAGCCACTAGGAGATTATTATTGGCTGTACAGAAACCTAAAGAGGTGGCAGTCTTACACTGCTGGGGTTATCAGAAAGGAAAGGAAAAGGAAACAGAAGAAAACCACCGAGCAGATATTGAACCCAAAAGAGCCACAAGGTGGGACCCTCCTTTAGAAATGCTTATAGAAGGACCCCTAGTATGGGGTAATCCCCTCTGGGAAACCAAGCCCCAGTACTCAGCAGAAGAAATAGAATAGGTAACCTCACGAGGACATAGCTTCCTCCCCTCAGGATGGCTAGCCACTGAAGAAGGAAAAATACTTTTGTCTGCAGCTAAGCAATGGAAATTACTTAAAACTCTTAACCAAACCTTTCACTTAGGCATTGATAGCACCCATGAGATGGCCAAATCATAATTTACTGGACCAGGCATTTTCAAAACTATCAAGCAGATAGTCAGGGCCTGTAAAGTGTGCCAAAGAAATAATCCTCTGCACTTCAGGCCATACATTTCAATCCCGGTATCTTTAACCTCCTTGTTAAGTTTGTCTCTTCCAGAATCGAAGCTGTAAAACTACAAATCGTTCTTGAAATGGAGCCCCAGATGCAGTCCATGACTAAGATCTACTGCGGACCCCTGGACTGGCCTGCTAGCCCATGCTCCGATGTTGATGACATCGAAGGCATCCCTCCTGACAAAATCTCAACTGCATGACCCCTACTACACCCCACTTCAGCAGGAGGCAGTTAGAGCGGTCATCAGCCAACTCCCCAACAGCACTTGGGTTTTCCTGTTGAGAGGAGGGACTGAGATACAGTATTATCTGGATTTCCTAGGCTGATTAAGAATTCCTAAGCCTAGCTGGGGAAGGTGACCATGTCCATCTTGAAATATGGGGCTTGTAACTCAGCTCACACCTGACCAATCAGGTAGTAGAGAGGGCTCACTAAAATACCAATTAGGCTAAAAGCAGGACGTAAAGAAATAATCAAATCATCTATCATCTGAGAGCAGAGCGGGAGGGACAGTGATTGGGATATAAACTCCAGGCATTCGAGCCAGGAGTGAGCAGCCCCCTTTGGGTCCTCTCCCCTTGTATGGGCACTCTGTTTTCACTCTACTAAATCTTGCAAATGTACGCTCTTCCAGTCCATGTTTGTTCCAGCTCAAGCTGAGTTTTCCCTCACTGTCCACCACTGGTGATCGCCACTGTCGCAGACCCACATTGACTGTCACTCCTCTGGATCAGGCAGGGTGTCCACTGTGCTTCTGATCCAGCGAGGCTCCCGTTGCTGCTCCTGATCAGGCTAGAGGCTCACCATTGTTCCTGCGTGGCTAAGTGCCCGGGTTCATCCTAATTGAGCTGAACACTAGTCACTGGGTTCAATGGTTCTCTTCTGTGACCCACGGCTTCTAATAGAGCTATAACACTCATGCATGGCCCAAGGTTTCATTCCTTGAAATCCGTGAGGCCAAGAACCCCAGGTCACAGAACAAATGGTCGGCCCCCAACTTGGGAGTGGCCTGCCACCATCTTGGGAGCTCTAAGAACAAAGACCCACCAGTAACAGTGGGAGCCACGTTTCTCATTGCTGAAGAGGGAAGTTATAAATGGGCAAGGGGAGGAGGCTAGAATGATTCATGTGATTATGAATTAGAGTTGGAGATATCAGTCTGAAGCCTTGTGTAACATAATACATAGATGGTAACATAGCAAAATTTATTGATATGCATAGATATATGGGTTAACACACTCTTGTGTATTTTCCTTCTCTGTCATCTCAGAAGGGCTACAAGCAACCATAATAGCAAAGAGCGCACCCAGCACTCATATCTTGATTTCTAAAACCAATTTTACAAGAAAAGAGATCAGGATTCCTTGGTGAAATGGCTGATTCCAAGTTTGAGTTTGGACAGGAGATACAATAAACCCAGAATATTTTGTAGTGCAGGAAAGTAAAGTTCTAAATAAATAAAATAAAAAAATAAAACCTACTATGATGAAGGCACATCAAAGGGACGCAGAGACAACTGAAAAGCTTCCAATGTGAGAAACAAATTATTGATTAGCCATATTAATATATTTGAATAAATAAATTTGAAAACAAAAAATATCTGTGCAGAAAAATTCTAAACAACGTATATATATATATATATATATATATATATATATATATATATATATACATGTATGTATTCCACCCTTAAGGAGGTGGAGTATAACTTCATACCCTTTAAGTGGTGGCTTCTTATAACATCCTTCCAAAGAGTTCAGTGTACAAAAGAAAAAAAAAGTAATTTTATAGTACAGAAAGATAAAAAATAACCCCTCAGCCAAGTGATCAAGGCTACTATCAGCAGTAATAACTTAATTTGATCATATGTACCTTTAACATTATGTGATAAAAACGGCAACTTACTTCCTTGGTCATTCTGAAAAAAAAAGAAAAAAAAACTTGTCTTTATAGTCTAATCATGAGAAAAACATCAGACATGGGATCATAGATTCTCAAGACATGTCGGAGCTTAGTTTATATATGTAATGATGTAAAATAATCATGGAAATTATTGTTATTGGTATTATTTAGTCTTCCACTTATAACACTCAGATGAAGATGGAGAAAATATTTTGAGATTCTAGTAGAGAAGCACAAAAAGTGCTTACTTCCACTTGTAGAAGAAAGAGGCTTTGTGCTTGGTTGATGTTATTCTCTCCATTTGTCTGATTAGACAATTAAACATCTGTGAACAATGTGGAAACATCTATCTCATCCAAATCTAATTCCACAATGTATTTTTAAAGCATGTCGAACCTTTTTAACACCAACTCATTCTTTTTTTCTGACAAATTTTTCCCAAAGATGACCAGGTAGGTCATAGACTAAACTACCAAGTAGTCAATTATAGCAAGGTAAATGACTAATTCTTTCTTTGAAACAAAAATTTGTCTTTAATTTCCTCTTCATTTAATTTTTTTCCAAAAATTTTAATTTATCTAATTTAGCTTATAATTTATTGAAATAAGACAATAGAAACACAGGGTTTCCTAAAAAGCCAGACAACCATAAGAAGTTTCACCATATATTAAGATTTCAACCACTGAATCTTATCTTTGCTTTTGCTAAACTAGGCCATGACCTTACATTTTAATGACTAGTCAGTAGACATGGGACTAATTTTGACATGGGCCTATTTTTTATATTCCATTAATTAAAAGCATTTAAAAGTTTTAGTTAGAAAGCATACTTTATGGCCAGTTACAAACAAAGGAAAATGCCAATTCAAGACAGATTCTTTTTACAGTGTTCCTACTGTGTCAGAAAATTACAGTATGTCCATTTAATTTGCAATTCAGCAATAATGGATTTCCACCTATACATATAATGTTTTCCCTGCTTTTTAAAAGCTTGATGCTTCAGTGGAAATATGTGATATGCTGCTGTGATTGTGTTCTGCCATAAAAATGGTATTAAATTGGTAAAGGGAAGCCCAGGAAATGTTAGAACAGGAGGGGGCTGCGAAACTGTTTACAGTTCTATTGTAGTTAAGACAGAGTTGCAATTGCGTGGTGTCAGGGTTTGTCTTTTAACTGCAGTAGTTCCCTAATTATTTTTTGGGAACTGTTTAGTTTTTCTTACTGTGTGATTAATTTAGTTTTTATTAAGTACTTGAAATATTGTGGAGTATTACACTGCTTTTTAAAAAATCTGTCTTTCTTTGAATTTCAGATTATTAAAATTCTCAACAAATACTTATTGAATGATTATGTATATCTGTATGTGTGAGTACATAAGAGTCAGCATTTTAATGGAAAGGTTACTAGATAAATGTGGTTGTCTCAAAGTGGCTAACTTACAAGATAATTTTGTAGTCACTTTTTATCAGTATTTCAAAAATCTGTATTATAGGCACAGAATATTTAAGTTACAGCAAACAAATATTCAGGTCCATGATGGAAGGAAGGAATAAAAAACAATGGCAGAAGGAAGTGAAAGATAAAAGGAAGGAAAAAAGGGAAGAAAGGAAGGGAGGGAGGGAGGAAGAGAGAAAGGAAAGAAGGAAGGCAGGGAGGGAGGAAGGAAAAGTGTTTAGTTTAATCTTTACCAATACTGGTATAAACTTAATTTTTGAAAATTTAAAATTTTAAAATTTTGTTCCTAAGATTTGTGTACTTGTGAAGCAATAATGATTAGAAAAGTATATCCTCCCCCTTAACCCCCCAAAAAATGTCTAAAAAAAAAAAAGTCAAGAGACTATACTCAATTCATCTTTTGTTACTGAGTTACAGAGGGATACTTACTATATTTTTGCTTTAACCAAATAATTTGTTGATTTCCCTATTTTCCTTACTATGCTTTAATATTATCACTAAACAATTAACAATTTTGTTATGAACTATCTGCTTGGTCTCATAATAAAATCTCTTTGGACCAAGGTTTCTCACAATTAAGGATATGGTAACAGAGTTCAAGCTGATTTAAAACATAGTTTAATGTCATCTTCAAAACTCCTAGAAAAAAATTCTTAATTTTAAGTGACTGCTTTCATATCATTTTGTGATTACCATTTTATTTTCCCAAAACATCAAAAATTATTGCATATATATTAAGTCCATAGGGGATATATCAGCTGAAGCTAATACTATACATAATTACATGTACATAAACAACTTCATAATATGCATATTTAATGTATAAGGCAATATTGATTTAGTGCCTTCAAAAGTGAAAATATTTTGCCATTCAGCCATGAAACCTTATAAAGAAATTTGATGGTGTCCTTACTTCTTCCTAGTGTAAGTGACTGGTAACAGACCACAGTTGGCAAGAGGAGTTGTCAACTGCTGGAGTTTATGAGAGAAGGCAGTTAAAACATACAATGAGAACATTATCATAGATAAGAAGCAAAACAGAGATGATCATAATCCTCCCTGTCTGCTTTCTCTCATCTCACAAGTTAGGAAGAAATGGAAAAGATAGATGGAGTAAATGTATAACTACTACTGAACCAAGACTATCTTTTCTCATGTGGGACAATCTATTTCCACTTCTCTTATGTAAGATCCTATTTCTAATATAAATATGTTTTTAATAAAATTTTTCATTTTTACTTTTATTTGTTGGAAAAACACAATTGCGTTTCCCACAAACATGATCACACTTCTTTTATTATTGCCTTAGGATAAGTATTTATTAGAGATATATCATTATTTTTAAAGAATACATACATTTTATTCTTTATACACAATATCAGCATCCCCTCCAAAAAAATTTTATTAACTTATAATTTTACTAATAGTAGTTACATTAGGTGGCTTGAATTCTCATAAATTGACATTAAGTATAGTTAAACACACTCTGAAGATAAAAATGCATATTACATTTGCATTCAATCTTTATTATTAAATGTGACCATATTTTCAGATATTTAATTCATATTTTTATTTCTTTTATCTCACAGCACTTTTCAATTTTTACCATTTAATTTTTAATCTAAATGACATCTTCACTAAATCATGTCAACTGAAACTCACACATGCAGTATGACTACAGTTTTTGAGGTGGATAAAAACAATGTAGTTAACATACTTCAAGTATACAACTCAATGCTGTTTTACATGCAAAAAAGGTAACTAATGAAACAACCCCAGGTTAAGATATAAATATTTCCAGCACCCAAGAATGTTCCCTTCTGTTCCTTCCCCATTAATATTTCCCCAACAAGTTATCACTATTCTGATCTACCACCATCAATTATATTAACCTATTCTTGAAATTAATAAATTGAGATTATACCATGTACTACACATACTCATTTGCTCCTGACTTGCTTTGTTTGATGCAACATGCATAAGATTCATCTATACTGTTCATAGCTGGACGTCCTCTTTATTATTGATTGCTGTGGGGTATTCCATTTCAGTAATATCTCAGGGTTATATACCCATTGTTATATTGATTATCTTTTTTGTTTCCAGATTTTGTATAATCTGTCTAAAGTGTTTATGAAAAATTCCTACACATGTCTTTTTGGCTGACATATGTACTTCTATTAGACACATGTAGGACTGAAATTGTAGCTGTATGTTCAGTTTCCAAAATCAATCTGATAAATTACAAAGGTGTAATATTATGGATCTATGGATGTATTTTCTCTCCAAAAATAACTTTTTGTCTTTATTTATTTTCTTGATATTTTACCTTCTTTCTATTTTAATTGTTTATGCTATCTTTACTTACTATATTTTACTGTCTTGCTCTTAGTTTAGTGTGTTTTTGTTGGGGTGATCAGATCCAACACCAGGCCATGGGGACGGCAAAGTCCAACAGAGTCAAAGGAATGAGAAAAGACAAGTTTAAGAGTGCATAAGGTGGGACCAAGGGGCCAACGCTAGTATGGAGGCTGTAAAGGCACTGCACTTTGGGAGCCCATGATATTTATTGGTGATCAAACAAAGAAGCAGGTGGTGAGGATGTGGGGATTGAGAGAAAGTGGTGCATCAAGCACATGGTCTACAGTTGTGACCATTTAGCATTTTCTTTGAAGCATATGGAACATGTTCTGCTACTCAAGATAATGGGAAATATGTTCTAGTTTAAGACACAATTGATCCATTAGCCTGGGAGTGCCAGCAGCAAGGAGCCAGCAAGTCTAGACACATTCCAGAAGCCACGAGGGGTTTTATTCCCTGAGCTCTGGATTCCACCTAAGCCACAAGGGGTTTTATCCCCTGGGCTTAGACTGTGGTGTGTCAGGGCAGCCTTCCACCCTTTGGCACAGAGCTTGGTGTTCCAAAGGCCATGAGGGGTTTTAGATCCTGGACCCTGGACATGTTCCAAGACTCTTTTACATTATGTCAGACATGCAAGTCCTGCCTCAGCTTTTTTCCCAACACTCAGCTTTTCCCCAACATGTTTTTTCTAATTTATTGACACAAAAGCTTGTTACTAATTTTTAAGTTTTCTTATTTTTTAAATATATGCATTTTAGGTCATAAATGTTTCTTTTGGCAATTCTTTAGGCTTATTATGCCATAGTTTTATTGTTCATTTTCAAACTGTGGTTTCTTCTTTGATTCATAGGTAAGAAGTATTACATTCATATAGAAAAATCAAATAGGGTTTAAGTCCAAATAAATATGATATTTAAAAAATATAGAAATAATATTTTCTTACAGAACAATCAGGTTTCTGAAAAACAAATATCTGTTTTTTTAATCTGTTTTTTTTTTCTGAGATAGGAGGCTCTTATTCTGTTACCCAGGCTGGAAAGCAGTGGCACAATCATGGCTTACTGCAGACTTGACTTCCTGGACCCAAGCAATCCTCCCACCTCAACCTCCTGAGTATCTGGGATCATGGGATCATAGGCACACACAACCATGCCTAGATTTTTTTTTTTTTGTAGAGATAGTGTCTTACTTTGTTGACTGGTCTCAAACTCCTGGGCTCAAGAGATCCTCCAACCTTGGCCTCCCATAGTTCTGGGTTTACAAGCATGAGTCACAGTGCATGGCCTGAATCTACTTGCTTTTAATACCTGAATCTACTTGTGTTTACCCTAGGAAACAATGCTAAATTCAAGTAGAAATCAAGAATTAATCAGTTTCAGAAAAAAACACAAAATACTGGAAAAAATTCATTGTATTTGGATACGTGCCACATACACACACACACACCACACACACACACACACACACACACACACACACAGACAGAGACAGGAGAGTGATAAGTTTTAACATATTTAACTTGCATAATCCCTTTTAATTTTCAAAAATCTTATGGAATGTTCACCAAATGCTAACATAACTAGTGTAAAAGATTTTGTTATCTTTCATATACCACATATTGTGGGCAGTGAACTCTGAAATCCATTTACTTTTCTTCATTTTGCACTCCAGGATGTCATAAACCTAATGGAGCTGAACAATTAACCCATGATAAGAAGAGGTTGGATGTGAGATATTAAAAGAAAAAGACATTTAAAAGTCCAAAGAGAGGGAAAAGAAGACAGATGTTGTCCAAAAAATCTCTGAACTGCATGAATAGCCATTTAGGCATCACTGGGATGGAGAACTGAGCTATTCTGATCATCATTAGAAATTGAGGAAGGAGAGCATTGCCAAGTAAGCAAGAGGAGAAATCAAACTGTTCAACTTCCCTCCTTTAGATTAGTCTGGAAAATACAAATGGCAGCTATAGTAAAATATTTTATATTTTTTTTCCAAGACAATGCTTCCTTAGATGGACACAGTTCAAGATTTGGTTATTAGAAGTAATAATCTTATGATATAGTCTAACCTACTAGAGTTCTGTATTGAATTTTATGAGGATGCAAACTTATTTTACTCCAGTTACTTCTGTTCAGAACATGGTGATTTTCAGTCCCTTTTTAAAATACATATAGTGATTTTAACCCTCTGTAATTTACAATAAAATTGAAAAAAAAAGAATAAAATTTATTCGTGAATTTCAAAGCGTTTTATGTGCATTTTGTTACACTATTCAAATTTTGAAGGCAAAAGCATTCTAGAGTCTAAAACATTTTTTATATGCAAACTAAGCATCTGTTAAAGATGTGTTAAAAGAATAAATAAATGCTTTAAAAACGACTCTTTTATGAGACAGCCTAAGAAGACAGATTTTCATAGTTTTTGCCCTTCTAGTATTCTGAGTTGAAAACATTTTACTTGTAATATTATAGGTCTATTCATTTATTCATAATTAATATATATTTTGCAAACTAAAAGCCACTATATTTCAGTAGTCCTAGTGCCTTGGTGATTATTAAAAGAAGAGCACTAATATATAATATGATAGGTGTACATTTCAAATAGTGTGAGTTAAGATTAATTTTTAGCATCTGAGAATACTATCTTCTGATAGATTTCATATTGGTTAGTATAGAATGATTTACCCATAGAGCTATGTAACTATGTTTATTTCTATGTATAAATCCAGATACTTATGTATTTAATATATTTGTTATTATGAATATATTTTCTCTGATGTTCAAATACCTTTTATGGGAAGGATGGAATTGTGCTGTACTGTATTTGAATCACTTCAATAATTTTCACAGATAAAGCTGCAGAACCTTGAAAGAAACAAACTAAAACACTTAATTTTTCACATGATAAAGCATGAAAATAAACCTAATGAAGATAATGCAGATGATTATAATAATATATGACCATGCGGAAAATTAATCTCTAATGCCAGCTAATTTAAATGTAACTTAGTTGTCAGTCAATGACACACGAACACTTTCCTAAATATTTTATTCTTATCAACAGAAGTACAAATAGCCTTATCCTTAGCCCTAGGTATTTAAGAGAGCCAGACTGAAAAGGCATCATGTGAAAGCCCAGGAATGATTTTCTAGCAAATAACATACAATGGCTCTTTTTGTATATCACATCATCACATTTTAAACACATTCTTTTGAATGCCTGGTTATATATTCAAAAGAATACCTAAAGTGCTGTTTCCCATGTGCTTTTGAAATCTAGAGAAAGATGCACCTAGAAGTTTTAGGTAAACACAACAAAATCAACACTGAAGAAATTTTTAGACTATTAGGCACAGTTTCTCAAATGAGGATATGCATTTGTTCAGCATTTGAGGCATACTATTAAGGCTGGGCATGGTGGCTCATGCGTATAATCCCAGCACTTTTGGAGGCTGATGAGGGCTATCCATTTGAGGTCAGGAGTTGGAGACCAGCCTGGCCAATATGGTGAAACCCTATCTCTACCAAAAATACAACAGTTAGCCAAGTGTGGTGGCACATGCCTGTAATCCCAGCTACTTGGGAGGCTGAGGCATTAGAATCCCTTGAACCCAGGAGGTGGAGGTTGCAGCGAGCTGAGATTGAGCCACTGCACTGCAGACTGGGCAACAGAGTGAGACTGTATCGCAAAACAACAAATAAGAATACTATTAAGTATCTATTCTGAACAAGAAACAGTCCTAGGCATTGAAGCAAGGCAGGAAGGGTTTTGGTAAAAGAGGTAAATAAAAAATATTACTAATATCATTCATAAATTACCCTCTACCTCCAAAAAACTATGCATCACTTCCTACTAAGGGAACGAAGTCAAGTAAACATTACCTAAAAATACAAGAAAGAGATTAATAATCCAATAAAAATGATATAAATGACCATTATGATCAAAAATGAGAAAATAATGATTTAAATCAGCTATAAAGGTTAGGAGGTTAATGCAGAGGTGGCATTTGAAATGACTACTGAAGACTGCTGAAGTGATACTTCTATGTTAATTCTGTAATTAAAATTTTGGAGTTACAAACTAAAATAAAATAAGATATCACACTTAAAGCATTTTCCTTTACAAAAATGCTTTCTTATGAAATTAATATAATAAAAAAGGTGACTAGATTGTGCTTAATTATAATGTATGCCATATTTATTTAATTCTTCACTATTTCTTCAAGAAGATTTGAAACAAGAGTTGTTGGTCCAATATGAAAATTAAAAATATTCAGAAATGAGAAAATAAATGTCTGATATCAAGTTATTTTATTTGAAAACAGATATCCATATATCTTAAATCACTGTGAACATTTATTTGAACATATTATTTTTCTGTTGTCACACTTCATAAAAAATCATTCACAAATTGTTAACAGATTTCAAAGTTCATGGAAAATTAAAATTAGAAGGTAAAAATTTAAAATATAAACTGTATTTCTTAACGTAAGTTCCATCAAGTTCAAGACAGTTTTGTAGGTGATGATGGTAGCCATTTAGTTCATCTCTGAAGAACTGAGGGTCCTGTAAATTTAATCATATCAATGCAGTCTATTTTTGAATTGTTAACTGAGAAAAAATGGGTGTTCTTTGCAGATGCTTTTTAAGATTAGAAAACAAAAAGAAGTTAGACGGAGTCAAATCATGACTATAAGGTGGATAATGATTTCCCATTAAAACTCACAAAATTGTCCTTGTTTGATGAGAAGAATGAGCAGAAGCTTTGTTATGGCGAAGAAGAACTCTCTGATGAAGCTTTCCCAGATATTTTTCTGCTAAGGTTTTGGCAAAATTTCTCAAAATACTTTCATAATACGCAGATGTTATTGTTTTTTGGCCCTCCAGAAAGTCAACAGGCAAAATGTCTTACATATTTCAAAAAGCTGTTGCCATGACCTTTTCTCTTGACTGGTCTGCTTTGTCTTTGACTGAACCACATCCAACTTTAGTAGTCATTGCTTTGATTGTGCTTTGTCTTCAGGGTTGTACTAGTAAAACCATGTTTTATCAACTATTATAATTCTTCAAAGACATGCTTCAGAATCTTGATACCACTTGTTTAAAATTTCAATTGAAAGCTATACCCTTGTCTGCAGGTGAACTGGGCACAGTGGTTTTTTTCTATTGAATGGATAGTTTGCTCAACTTTATTTTTTTTCAGTCAGGATTGTGTAAGCTGAGCTAATTACAGAGATGCTTTTTCTTCTGTTTTTAATTGTAGCTGCTTTTCAATCAGAGCAAGAACCAGATTAATTTTTTTCCTTTCAAATTGATGTGAATGTTCAGCCACTGTGAGCTTCATCTTTAACATTATTTCAATCTTTATTAAAATATTATTGCTACTGTACAATTCATTCATGTCACCAAAAACCACTTGTACCCCTCAAGTTACTGCAAATTTTAAAAATGTTATTTATTTGCAAATTGCTGATTTCTTTAGAGTATTTACCCCATAAACTTTTGAAAATTAGTATTAATCAATAATTTTACTATTCTTCCACCTAACCTTTACCATAAATTTGATGTTTGTTCTTGCTTTCATTTTAGCAGACTTCATGTTTCTCTAATAAGGGCTCTTTTCAAACTCTTGTTTTAATTGTCCTTAGTGCCTCAAACTGGATCCTGTCCAGACATATTTTAATAAGTTAGTATGAGTTTATTTTGGTGTAATAAATTTTGAATTTTATGCATAGCTTTTTTCTTAATATGCATTTTCTATTAACTTTCTGAAGTCTCTTTGTGTTTGCATATATTTTAGGATGGCTCTAATGCCTGATTACTTTCCAAAGATTCAACTTATAAATACCATTGTATTGGGGGAGAAGTAACAAAAACATAAATAAAATGGTTCTAATGCTAATAAATATAGCATTAGAAAGTATTTTATAGCTTTTACTTTCACATACTTTTAATTCCTTGATATTCTTTATATCAGTAATTTATATTTGAAATTTTCACCATAAACTTTATTACAAAGAACAAACATTTCTTTATATAAGTATCCTGGGTTTTCCCCCATTCCTTCTGTAGAATATATAACTATAACTCTACAATCTATTTAATATATTGCTTTGGGATATATTTTTTAATACATCCAAAATGATACATAAGATCAACATCAAAATTCCATGGGTTAAAATATTACACACACACACACACACACACACACACACACACATAACTTTATTAAGAATATCCCGTGTGATGTTTGGAAATTGAGTCGTAACTATGCTCAGTTATTTATAGTATACTAAAGCTAATTCTCACAAACATCATATAAGGTATGTTAACTATGTTTCCAAGTAGGGAAATTATAGTTAGATTCATGATTGATGAAACCATTTGTTCAGCATTGTACAAATAACAGTAAAAAGAACTGAAATAAAAATCAATATTGGTCTGCTTCATATACCTCAGCTTCCTAATACATCATGCTTTGCTTAACCTCATCTATTAGTCTCTTCAGGCTGCTATAAGAGAATGCCTTATGCCAGGTAGCTTAAGAAAGAGATATTCATTTTTCAGAGGTCTGGAGGCTGAAAGTCCAAGGTCAAAGTGCTGGCAAATTTGGTTTCTGGTGAGGGTCCCGGCTTGCAGACAGCTGCCTTTTAACTGTGTTCTCATATGGTGAAGAGAGAGAGGGAAGGCTCAGGTCTCTCTTCTTCTCCATATAAGGACACTAATCCCATTATGGTAACCCCACCTTCATAACAAAATTTAAACCTAATTACCTTCCAAAGGTCCACCTTAACAAATGTCATTATACTGGGGGAGAAGCAACAAAAACATTCAGTTTATAGCAACTAGTTTGCTTCATTTATAAATATCAATCTTAAAGTTTGTCTAGGTAAAATAATATGGCTGTAGTTAAGCCAAATTGTGTGTGTATGTGTTTGTATGTATGTGTGTATATATATAGAGTCATACATATATACAATTTTTAGGTTTAAGTCTGTACTATTGATCAATTGTTATGAACACATGGGATTGGCTGCCCATTACCATTTTCCTTTAGAATAGCCAATCTCCCTATTCAAATATTAGTGCAGGATCTTACATCCTGTTTCAACTTATCATCCTCACAGGTTAATAACCAGGTTATGATAGGAAATTCCTAAATCTTCATTCTTCTGGATTCAGTGGTTTGGTCTATATGTCACCTGACAAACTATATCAGTGAGTTTCTTAGTAACATTTGGGCCTCATTTATAAAGAGTTTCAAGTCAATCTAAATAATTGCTGTAATATTAGAGTTATCATCTTTACTAATTTAAATCAATGTGCAAAAAATTCAGATAAAGTAAGATAGGTTGATCTTAACAATCAAAGAGGAGAAACAAAGAAAAGAATGAGACCCTAGATGATTTACTTTCTTGTTCCTTCTAATCTAGTGTCCAAGATGTGTGCATCTTTCTGGAGTTATCTTTCATCTAGTGTGTGGATTCTGTGAGTAAAAGCATTATCCATTTGCCAAAAGTAGATTGATTGAGTTGTGTTCCTGTCATTGCAACCAAAAGTTAAAACTAATATGGAAATTAGTACCCAGTGTGGGGTCTTAATCATTACTGATTGGTGAAAATGATGGAATTATAGTGCCAAGGAGAGAATGACAATCCCTTCTAGGACCGCAAGATTGGTTATTTATTATGTTGTTATGAAGTCCATAAAGCACATATGAAGCATATAATATATGATCCATTTATCTTTAGACTCAGATTATGCATCCTCTGAAATCTGTGCTTTGTCACACAAAATGTTATGATATCTACCATTATTGACTACTTATCCTAGCCCTTGATAGTCATGAGAGATGTGCAATATCCATCTCAACAGCAATTTTCTTTCCAAATTGAAAATATTCCAATAACAGTAAATCTTGGTCATCTATTTTTCATACTGTACATAATCCAAGGAAGAGCTGAGAGCTTAGAGCTAAGATTTAGTGGCTGGAAGAAATCTTTTGGTTAAAATACACACACACACACACACACACACACACACACACACACACACACACACAGAAAATCCCAGGTTTGACTGGCTAAGCAGTTTGGTCTTTTTTCCCCCAGGAATGGATATTTGCTTTGTCAAATTCTACTTCTCCAGGCATTAAAATATAATGTTTTTATCTTTTATAATTTATTAATATGATACATTACATTGGTTGATTTTAATAAATTGTTAAAACTTTTAATGTAATTTTAAGTTTACAGTACAATTATAAAGAATTTTTAGAAGTTCCCCATATGCTTCACATAATAATATGTTAAATTAGTATGGTACATTTTTACAATTAACGAACCAATATTTATGTTTCAATATTAACTAAAATCCACACATATTCAGATTTCTTTAGTTTTTATCTAATGTCTATTTTTTTCCAGGATCCCATCCAGTATATCATATTATATTTATCAGTCACTTTTCCTGAGGCACTTCTTTGCTGTTACGGTTTTTCTGACTTTCCTTACTTTCGATGACCTTGACAATTTTCGGGAGTATTAGTCAGGGATATTGCAGAAAATCCCTCAATTAGAATTTGGCTGATGTTGTTCTCCCATTTAAACTGAGTTAACGGGTTTTTGAAAACAACACAGGTAAAGTGCCATTTCATCACAATACTACAAAAGTACACACCATCAACACAATGTAACAGAGTTGATATTGACCTTGATTCCTGGTTGAGATAGTGTTTATCAGGTTCCTCTACTGGAAAGTTACTCTTTTTCCCTGTCTCCATACTGTAACCTTTGGTAGTCATGTATGCAGCTCAGACTTGACAAGTGGGAAATTTTATTTCACCTCCTTAAGGGTAAAGTCTCTAAATAAATTGTTTAGAATTCTGCACTGGAGAATTTTCCCATTTCCCTACTCACACTCATTTAATTTTATTTTTATTCAATATTTGTTTTTATAAGCAATGACTCATAAATATTTATTTTGTACTTTGGGTTATAATTCAATACTACTTTATTTTCTTGCTCAATTTGTTCCAGCTTTGGCTTTTGGGAATTGCTTCAGTTGCCTTCTCTCTTTGCCATACCCCCAAACTTTTGGGTGATTCTTTGTTTTAATTGAACACTTTCTTATTTTCTTGTATTGTGAGATACTCCAGGCACCTCTTCAATAGTTCCTGACTTAACCCTAAAATCAACTATTTCTTCAAGGAGGTCTGGTTTCTTTTACTGGGGAAAAATATTAGAAAGGATTATGTTGGTGCTCTATATGCTCATTGCTACCAGTGTCATTATTTTTAGATCCTCTTAGCTGACATAGCAAATCTATGTATGTGTGTATACAAACCATGTATATACAAATATCTCTCTAGCTATCCATCTGAAGTTTTCCATCTATATCTGTGTTAAGCTAAACATACCTTCAGCTATCTCTTCAACTCTAATCCTTTCAAATAAATTATACTTCCTCCTCCCCTTGCTTATCAGTAACTTCCCCTTCTAACAGTGAAAAAGCTTGCTCCCATCATCTACTACTTATTTACTTGATTGTTTAATTTTAGTATATGTGTATATCAATTTCAGAACTGTTATATGGTATCCCCATGGGAGACAACTAAGCAACTTTATTAACTATGGTGCAGTATGTTTTTTGTGCAGTTCTTTTTATCTTTAAACTTCTTGGTTTCACTTATTTCCAGAAGTCTCCATATTTTACAACAAACCTTTTCTTAATGAGGTTTCCTACAGTTGTGTAACTGTGCAGTTTAGTTTCAAAATACATTTTAAAACTTTTTTTCTCTTTTCTAGTCTTAACCTTGAAATGTACTTTGAAACCCTTTGTTTTTCTTCTTTTCAACCAGATATTCCCTTGCACTGTTCTAGCTTCTCTAATTAAGTGCTTGTTTAGAAATATCAGGGGCTAAACCTGAAATAAACTAATGCATGGAGACTCAGCTGTAGAATCCTCTCTTGCCTAGAGGGAGTTGTGAACAATCAGTACACCACTACTGGGCCAAAGTCAAGACAGTACCAACAAGACCTCCTAAAGGGAGTTTAGTCAAGATAGCCATCAGAACAAGACACACAGATCCTGTTCTTCACCCCACTCGCACATGCTTCCCATGCCAGGTTACCTTTCTTAAACTCATTTATGTGCTTAATATTTTGAAATGTCTTTCAGAGGAATGAGCCCGGCCATTTACGAACTGCCATTTGAATAAAATTGCTTTCCTTTCACCAGACCCCACTTCTCCTATTTTTGCTTTAAAGCTGTGAGCAGCTGGACTTGCATTCAGTTATATTTATAATACAACTGGTTTATTTTGTCACAATCTTCATTGCATGTGTGTTTATCTTTATTTCCTAAATGTTTTATATAATTTGCATGCATTAAGGTTCACTCTTCTTGCTGTGAAGAACTATGGGCTTATCCAAATGAATAATGTCATGTAATCACCATTTGAGTATCATACAGAATTATATACTTTCACTGGACTGTGATTCACTTTTCAACCTTAGCTTATCAACAGACCACTTTAAATACTGATATGTTTGCCATTTTTGTATTTTTGCCTCCTCCAGAATGCCAAATAATTTAAATTCTACGGTACTTAGCCTTTTCAGGCTGGCTTTTTCAAATAGCAATATGCACTTAAGATTTATACATTTTTCAACATGGCTTGATAGATAGCTCATTCTCTCTATTGCTGATTAGTATTCCATTGCATTGATTTACCACAATTTGTTTATTCATCACCTAATGGAAGGACCTCTTAGTATCTTTCAATTGTTGGTGTTTAAGAATAAAGTTGATATAAGAATTAATGTGAATGTTTCTGTGTGGTTATAAGTTTTCAAATCAGTTGGGCAAATACCCAGGAGTGTAACTGCTGTACCATTTCGTAAGATTACATTTAGCTTTTTTAGAAACTACCAAAATTATCTTCCAAAGTAGCTTTGCCATTTTGTATCCCCACCAGCAATGAACAAGAGACTTTTTTTGTTCTGATACAGAGTTTCCAATATTGAGCCAACCCAGCACTCTTAGGAAGAAGTCATTTGGTCATGAATTCTGATTCATTTTATAAAATCGTGCATTTGATTTGCTAAAATTGTTCTAGGAAGTTGTGTATCTATATTTATGACAGATTTTGGATTGTACTTATTTTTTAACTGTTCTTGTCTGATTTTGTTTCTAGAATAATGAATCATAAAATGTCCTCATAGAAAGAGTTGGGAATTATTCTATCTTCTTTAATTCTCTAGAAAAATGGTCTAGCATTGGTATTATTTGATTCATAAATGTTTGGTAGAATTTACCAGTGAAGCTATCTGGACCCAGAATTTTCTTTGTGAAATGGTTTTAACTACAAGTTCAATGTCTCTTACGGTGTTCAGGCATTCACAAACGTCCATTTGTTACTCTCTGCTTTGTCTTAAACAAACTTCAGTCAACCTTCTCTCTTTTCTACAGGATCCTAAAGTTTTCTTGTCACTAAGCCTGAGTAAACTCTAAAAATTGAAAGTACCATCATATCAGCTTATCCTCAGGGTCAGCTTACCACAGCAAAACAATGTCTCTGTTAAACCTCACTTATCATTTCCCCTTGTTTAGCAAATTTCTCCTTAAAATATTGTTTTTCTTTCCTTCTAATTTAACCCTATAAAGAAAGGCCTTTTTTGTTTGAATTTGAAATGCCTGCAGTTATCTGAAATTCGTGTTCTTCCTATTGTAATAGTATTTCTTCTGAATAAAATAGTTCCTTAAAGTCCAGATTTGTGTTTATTGGACAATAGATATAGACATATTCACATTATTTTTTTTAGTCAGATTTGATAGCTTGCATTCTTCAAAGATTAAGCCTATTTCAACAAGATTGTACAATTTATTTGCATGCAGTTTTAAAAATAATAGCTCTTTATTATCAGTATATGCAGTATCTGTAATGATTTCCATTCTCTTATTCCTCATATTACTATTGTCATTTCTGAAATGTTTTTATTACTCTGACCAGAGGTTTGTCAATCATATTAACCTTCTCAATAAAATCCACTTCCTATTATTTATTTCCCCTACTTTTTCTACTTTTTAATTCAATTTTTGTTGTGGTCTTTATTTTTTTCCTTTTCCTCCATTTTGAGATTCTTTTCTTTCTCCTTCTCTCTTTTTTTAAATTCATTTAGGGAGAAGCTGGGTTCATTAATTTGACACCATTCTTTGATTACATTCTTTTTAATAAAACCATTTAGTGCTACAAGAATTTCTTTCTGAATATTCATTTACCTGCATCCCATGACTTTTGACACATTGTGTTTTCATTCATATTTTTCTAGTTTCACATATCTAGTAATTTTTTATATGATGCTAGAAATTGTGACTGTTCTAAAAAATCATACTGAACAGTTTGTAGTTCTCTACATATTCTCAAATGTTGTTCAGGGATGGGATTTAATAACTTGATAATTGTTTGGTGTTTCAGGTCTTGTTTTTAAGATTTGTCAAGCAAGACATAAGCAGCTTTTAGGACACAGCTTTTATGTAGACAGATAGATTTAGGGAATACAAGTACAGTGTTGTTACATGAATATTTTGTGTAGTGGTGAAGTCTGGGCTTTTAGTATAGCCATCGCCCAACCCCTGTACATTATACCGGCAGCCATACTGCCCGAAGCAATCTACAGATTAAATGCAGTCCTATAAAAACACCAATGTTATTTTTCACATAATTTAAAGATAGATCTATCTATCTATCTATAATTTTT
Source organism: Homo sapiens (assembly GCF_000001405.40). Classification (NCBI taxonomy): domain Eukaryota; kingdom Metazoa; phylum Chordata; class Mammalia; order Primates; family Hominidae; genus Homo; species Homo sapiens. Next base: position 163,677,051 of record NC_000003.12, on the reverse strand, counting down.
TCTGTATTATTTGTGTAGACACCAAGTAGTGAGATTAGTGGATCAAATGTTAGTTGTATTTTTTGTTCTTTGAGAAATTGCCATACTGTTTTACATAGAGGGTGTACTAATTTATATTCCCACCAACTGTGTATATGCATTCCCTTTTGTCTGAATCCTTGCCAACATGTTACTTTATTTTTACTTTTTAATAACAGCCATTTTGACTGGTGTAAAATGGTATCTCATTTAGGTTTTAACATGCATTTCTCTGATTATTAGTGATGTTGAACATTTTTTGTATTTTTATTGGTCATTTGTATGTCTTTTAAAAAATGTGTGTTCATGTCTTTTGCCTCCTTTTAATGGGGTTGTTTTTGTTGTTGTTGTTGTTGAGTTCCTTATAAATTCTTAATATTAGTCTTTTGTTAGATGCCTAGCTTTTAAATATTTTCTCCCATTCTGTAGTTTATCTGTTTATGCTATTGACTATTTATTTTGCTGTGCAGGTTTTCAGCTTAATTAGGTCCTATTTGTCCATCTTTGTGTTCCTTTAGCTTTTGAGGTCTTAGTCATGAATTCTTTTTCCATGCCAATGTTCAGAAAAGATTTTTCCTGTTTTCTTCTAATAATTTAATATTTTCAGGTCTTGAGCTTAAGTCTTTAATTCATCTTGAGCTAATTTTTGTATTTGGTGAGAGACAGGAGTCCCTTTTCACACTTCTGCATATGGCAATCCAATTTTCCCAGCACCAGGTATTACATAGGGTGTCCTTTCCCCAGTGTTTTTTTCAACTTTGTCAAAGAACAGTTGACTGTAAGTATGTACCTTTATTTCTGTGTTCTCTATTCTGCTCCTTTGGTCTACATGTTTATTTTTATTCCATTACCATGCTATTAAATCTAGCCTTGTAGTATAATTTGAAGTCAGATAATGTGATGTCTCCAGCTTTGTTCTTTTTGCTTAGAATTGCTTTGGTGATTCACATTCTTTTTTTGTTTCTTATGAATTTTAGGATTATCTTTAAATTATGTGAAAAATAACATTGATGTTTTTATAGGATTGCATTTAATCTGTAGATTGCTTTGGGCAGTATGGCTCTTTAAAGGATATTGATTCTTCCCATCCATGACCATGGGAAGTTTTTTCCACTTGTTTGTGTCATTTACAATTTCTTTCCTACTGTGTTTTGTAGTTCTTCTTATAAAGATCTTTCACCTCCTTGATTAAATGTATTCCTAGGTAGCTAATTATTCCACACTTTTAAAGAAAGATTCTTCTGAGGACTCTACCCAATACTCAATAAATTATAACATTTTTCAAATTTGATTAGTGGGAATTAGCACTCTTCCTGATATTGTGAAGGCTCTGCTTCTTCTAATCTTTTTAGGTGTTTCCTTTTTACTGGCCTGGGATAGTTTCCTTAAATCCATGAAATATTAGTATTCTCTGGATATCTGAGGGAGTCCCGGACACAGTGGTCTAGAATTCTCTGTCTGTGCTGCCCCTTTTCTGTGATAATACTCCCTATTACTCTACACTTTTTGGGTTTTCTAGACTCTCAATCCTGCCTCTTCAACTAAGAGAATCTGCCAGGCTTTAACTGGGATCCCCCCTCTTTGACCCACAGCCTGGAATCTTTCTCAGGACAATAAGCTCATTCATCTAATGAGACATTTAGTTCCATTTTTTAAAGAATACTAATAGAGCAACTAAAAAATAATAAAGAAACCAACACAAATTTGAACAAAGCAGTAGTAAAGGGTAGAGGGGCCTCCATAAAGTAATTGAGTATTATTTAACATAATCCCTATAGTGTTTATAGACACATACACAGTTATGTCACTTGAAATTGATAAGATGCTATAACATCCGACAGTGATTGCCTTGGGTAGCAGAATCAGAAATTCTTTGTTTAAAGTCAGCTGGACAACAGTGTATATATGGAAGAAAAGTTTCAAAAATGATATAGGTAAATACTTAAAATAATCGCAGAAAAAATGCTCACTTTGTATGTGATCCTTAATGTAAAGAAACTATATTATTTTCCAAATTAAAATCAAGTCTGCAAAAATTAACTACTAGTTTATTTATTATGCCACTTTTCTTTTTTCCACAGTTTGTGTATGCTGATTTAAATAATATCTGTTCTAAAATTTAAACAGGTAATTCAGAGCCTATTCTCCTTTAGATATTGAATTGTGATTGTTATTTTAATATAAATCTTAACCCTCTGAGGCATTTAACCAACTGGTAATATCTGCTGTCATGGACTCTAATAAATGGCTGAAAATATCAATAAATAAGACAAGAGTGGTCAAAACTAATCAAAATTTCAATGTTAAGGATACAAGAAATATAGACATCTAGCAAAATGTAAGCTTATGAAAATATGTTTAAAATAAAGCATAAGAAATAAAAATATCAGATAATCAAAAATATTGCTATTTATTACAAGTTCTTATTATTCATATTTCTCTGCAACATTCCTGTTCTCCACTCAAAATTTGGAAGTTAGGTTTAAAATTATGGTTGTTGGGTAAATGGTCAAGTTAGTGAATACATGCAATTTGATTGGATTGCACATTTTACCTTAAAACATAGTAATACAGGTCATGAGTTAGTAGTATTAAATATTACTAATAAGAATAGTAATATGAATAGTAATAAATAGTGTTTTACTTGTAGTAATAGAGGTAAACGAGTGTGTATTAAAATTGCAATAAAATCTAATTCTATTTCAGTGGCAGATTCTGAAATCAGCAAGATAAATGTTACTAATAGTGTTCCACACAGTAGAAAATCTGCAAATAGTAAACAATAGAAACACAACTAAGAATATTGTATATTTTTCAACTGATATTTCAAAAGATGCATCATAATTTAACAATATTGCTAGCACTTGAAACTACCTGTCATATTCCTTTCTAGGTAGGACATGTTAGGAATGTGACATAACCTACCATCAAGCCACTTGGGAGAACACTGGGCTATTTCTGGTGAAGAACAGAGAACTGCTCTGACATTACATTACTTGATAGGATATAAATATAGAAACCATAAAACATATAAAGAGAAAATTTAGTTTTACTGTAAATTGATATTTGTAATTCTCATCGCTTTATAATGACATACATTTCAAAAGATAAATTGTGCTAGAATTGCTACAAAAGAGAAGACTTCTGCAGAGGAAATGCAGACTTAACTCTTTCTCCATTGTTGCTTTTGTGTAGTTTGCTGTTCAGAAATGGGAGTTCATCTTGGTATTGCTTAATCAAAAACAACGTTTGTAAGACATGAGTGTGTTATATCTTCTAAAGGAAAATTTGATAACCTTATTAGTATTAGTACATTGAGTTTTTTTCTGAATAGTGGAAATGCTTTTCACATATCGCAACACCCGCAGGATACAAACAAAGGTCAGTGAATCTGAGAAGGTGGGTAACTTGTACTAAGTATAATAAGTAAGCATGAGGAAACATTCCAAACATGACTTGGAATTTGGATATAGGCCTCAGACATCAAAGTTTATGCTCTTTCCACAGAACTGCCTTTCTTATTCAAAGTTCCTTTTTAATATAAAGAAACATTATCAGATAAAGGGAAGTTGATTTGTTCCAAATCACATAAAAAATATTCAGCTACATCAGCCGTCAGTAATAATGAGATACATGACATCATTTGAAATTATACATTGTATTTTTTTAATCTTATTTCTGCTCTCAACCATATGGTGAAAGCATAAAAAGAAATACTCAAAAAAGTTTGGATATTTTTACAAAAGTATGGCATTTCTTCAGGTTTTGCCTTTCACCAGCTTTGATTTATACTTGATTTTAAAACACATTGAGTCTTATTCTCCCCTCACTAGCATGAGAGAGTAGCTGCCATAAATCCTTGATACTGCCAGCTTACACAAAGGAAAAGATTGTTCTGAATTGTGCAACATATATAATACCAGCTCAGGGGCAGAAAAAACTATGATGGGAGAAGAATTATCTCATGTCCTAGAGGAATAGAAAGGTAGGAAGCAAGCTCTTCATTATCATGATGAAATTAAGCTAATTTATTTGTAGTACTAAAATTAAATAATGGAGAAACATCTTTATTTTAAAAATCTAGTCATAAACAATTAAAAATTAGCATTTTTTAACCAATAAAATCCAAATAACATCAATTATAACTGCTTGAAAATAATTATCCTAAAAATCATGTTATGCACTATTATGATGTATATTAGTTTTTCTCATTCATATAAAATAATTCAATGAAATAAGCAGTCTAGCTTTTCCAGGGCATGCCAAAAAAGCTGAACGTGTGATAAATATGACTAAAACTATGTTTTAAATATCAATATGTCTAATGAGTATACACAAAATACAAAGCTTTATCAAATCTACTACATAGTTTGCCAAGCACATGATTATTTTTATTTCTTGAGAGATAATCATGCATACATCAATGTAATTTTGGACTCTGAATACTTTGCAGGATTACATAGCCATGATAAATTATTTTGTTCCATAAAGAAAATATGTTTAGATCATTTCCTACAGAATGTACTATTATGTTACTTTAGATATACTCAGAGACATTAGAAAATATCCTTATAAAATATTCTATAATATTCAATGGTTTATACTTGTAGAATTTATTTTTTAAAAAATAGAGACATTGAAGGGCAGATAATGAGAAAAACCACAACTCAAATATATATTAAGCTCTTCTCTACTCTCATTTAATTTTGACAAAATAATCAGTATTGAGTATAGTAAAAAAGCAGAGGAAGAAGTCACACATTCTTTATTATTTTTATTTTCACCCTTAGTTTTCATTATTGATTATAAATTAATTAGATTTTTACGCACATTCTCTAATAATTGATTTAGCTGGAACTTACCCAAGCAAAAATACACAATTGAAAAATGAATTTGTAAAGATTTCTAGGAACATGGCGGATGACAGGCAGAACTAGATTGCAGCTCCAGACAGAGAAGCATGTGGAGGTTTGCACTGTAAATTTTAGCTCCGAACAGACGGCAAGAACAAATAAGCAATCCCGAGAGGACCCATAGAACTTCTGAAGGAAGTAGACTGCACCTGCAGCACCCAGGAAACACCCCAAATACTGTGAGTTTCCCAACTGTGGAAATGGGAAAGGGAGAGCCTCCTCCCCTAACACATCCTCACTAGAGAAGCTGGTCTATTTGTGGGGGAAGTTTCTGACTTTACCTGGAGCTGAGTCAAGTTAGAGAGCCCAGCAAAATACAGGGGACGAGGAAGCCACGGAAAGGACCTGAGAGCTCGCTGGGTCCCCAAGCAGCCCATTCCTGCCTGGCACCACAAGGATACATCAACAGGGTGGCCAGAGGAGCAGTGGTAAAATTCCACAGGGAGAAGGAATTCTCTAGCTGAACTTTGTAACAATGTTAACGGGGTAAGAAGCCTCCTGGCCAGAACTCGGGGGAGGGCATGAATCGGGCATGCAGATGTCACAGGCAGGGAAGAACTAAAGTCCTTTTCTCTCACAGCTGAGAGATGGAAAGTCTCAGGCAAGTTTTCAAGCCCATCTTACCCTCCACCTGGAAATAGACTTGAGGCTGTGACCGCTGGCTTTCCGCCACTTCCTTGAAAACCTGCATGACTCAGCAGAGGCAACCATAATCCTCCTAGGTACACAACTCCAGTGACCTGGGAATCTCACCCCCATCCCCCCCAGCCACAACAAGCCCAGCCCAAGGAGAGGCTGAACTTAGACATGCCTAGCCCTGCCACTGCCTGATGGTCCTTCCCTATTCACCCTGGTAGTGGAAGACAAATGGCATATAATCTTGGAACTTCTAGGACCCTGCCCACTACTGGTTCCTCTCCACACTACTACAGCTGATGCTTTCTGGAAAGTGCTACCTCCTGGCAGAAGGTCAACCAGCAGAAAAATAGAGCATTAAACCACCGAAGGTAAGGACCCTTATGGAGTCCACTGCACCCTCTGCCACCTCCACAGGAACAGATGCCAGTATCCGTGGCTGAGAGACTCATAGACAATTCACATCACAGGACTCAGTACAGACAACAACCAGTATCAGCCTGGTGCTGTGTAGACTCACTTGTTGGCTAGACCCAGGAAAGAGACAACGATCACTGCAGTTCAGCTTACAGGAAGCCATATCCATAGGAAAAGTGGGAGTAGTATGTCAAGAAAACACCCGTGGGACAAAAGAATCTGAAGAACAGCCTTCAGACCTATACCTTCCCTCTGACAGAGGCCACCCAAATGAGAAGGAACAAGAAAACCAACATTGCTAATGTGACAAAACAAGGCTCTTCAATACCCCCAAAAAATCACACTAGTTCAACTGCAATGGACCCAAACCAAGTAGAAATCCCTGATTTATCTAAAAAAGAATTCAGAGGGTTAGTGATTAAGGTAATCAGGGAGGGACCAGAGAAAGATGAAGCCCAATGCAAGGAAATCCAAAAAATGATACAAGTGAAGGGATAAATATTCTTGGAAATAGATAACTTAAAGAAAAAACAACAAAAAATTGAGGAAACTTTGGCCACACACTTTTAGAGAGGTGAAATGCTCTGGAAAGTCTCTGCAATAGAATTGAACAAGTAGAAGAGAGAAATTCAGAGCTCAAAGACGAGGTATTCACATTAACTGGATCCAACAAAGACAAAGAAAAAAAGAAGAAAATATGAACAAAGCCTCCAAGAACTCTGGGATTATTTTAAATGATCAAACCTAAGAACAACTGTGTGCCTGAGAAAGAAGAGAATTCTAAAAACCTGGAAAATATATTTGGGGAATAATTGAGAAAAACTTCTCCAGCCTTGCTAGAGACCTAGACAGCCAAATACAAGAAGAACAAAGAACACCTAGGAAATTCATCCGAAAAAGATCTTCACCTAGGCCCATTGTCATAAGGGTATCCAAAGTTAAGATAAAAGAAAGAATCTTAAGAGACAGGAGCACCAGGTTGCCTACGAAGGAAAACCTATCAGATTAACAACAGATTTCTCAGCAGAAATCCTATAAGCTAGAAGGGATTGGGGACCTATATTCAGCCTTCTCAAACCAAACAATTATCAGCCAAGAATTTTGTATCCAGTGAAACTAAGCATTATATATGAAGGAAAGATACAGTCATCTTCAGAATAACAAATTCTGAGAGAATTCGCCATTACCAAACCACCACTACAAGATCTGCTATAAGGAGCTCAAAATCTTGAAACAAACACATAAAAACAGAACCTCTTTAAAGCATAAATCACACAGGACCTATAAAACAGAAATACAAGCTAAAAAGCAGAAACAAAAAACATACAAATAAAACAAAGTACACAGGCAACAAAGAGCATGATGAAAGCAACGGTACCTCACATTTCAATACTAACGTTGAATGTAAATGACCTAAATGTTCCACTTAAAATTTACAGAACCGCACAATGGATAAGAAGTTAGCAACCAACTATCTGCGAAGAGACTCTCCTAGCACATAAGGACTCACATAAAGGAAAAGGGAGGAAAAAGGCATTTCATGCAAAAGGACACCAAAAGTGAGCAGGGGTAGCTATTGTTATATCAGACAAAACAAACTTTAAAGCAGCAGTGGTCAAAAGAGACAAAGAGGGACAGTATATAATGATAAAAGGCCTTGTCCAAACATATATATATATATATATATATATATATATATATATATATATATGAATTCTAAACATATGTGCACCTAACACTGGAGCTTGCAAATTTATAAAATAATTAGTACTAGACCTAAGAAACTAGAGAGAGAGTGACACAATAATACTGGGGGACTTCAGTACTCCACTAACAGCACTAGACAGGTTGTCAAGACAGAAAGTCAAAAAAGAAACAATGGACTTAAACCATGCCCTGGAAAAAATGGACTTAACAGATATATATAGAACATTTCATCCAACAACCACAGAATATACAATCTATTCAACAGCACATGGAACTTTCTCCAAGATAGACCATATGATAGGCAATAAAATGAGCCTCAATAAATTTAAGAAAACTAAAATTATATCAAGCACTCTCTCAGACCACAGTGGAATAAAACTGGAAATCAACTCCAAAAGGAACTTTCAAAACCATGCAAATACATGGAAATTAAATAACCTGCTTCTGAATGAGCATTGGATCAAAAACAAAATCAAGATTGAAATTTAAAAATTCTTTGAACTGAATGACAATAATGACACAACCTATCAAAACCTCTGGGATACAGCAAAGATGTTGCTAAGAGAAAATTCACAGCCCTAAACACCTACATCAAAAAATCTGAAAGAGCACAAGCAGACAATCTAAGGTCACACCTCAAGGAACTAGACAAACAAGAATAAACCAAACCCAAACCCAGCAGAAGAAAGGAAATAATGAAGATCTTAGCAGAACTAAATGAAATTGAAACAAACAAACAAAAAAGACAAATGAAACAAAAAGCTGGTTCTTCAAAAAGATAAATAAAATTTATAAACCATTAGCAAGATTAACCAAGAAGAGAGAAAATCTAAATAACCTCACTAAGAAGCGAAACAGGAGATATTACAACTGACACCTCTCAAATAAAAAAGATCTTTCAAGGCTATTATGAACATCTTTATGCACACAAGCTAGAAAACCGAGAAGAGATGGATAAATTCCTGGAAAAATACAACCCTCTTAGCTTAAATCGGGAAAAATTAGGTACCTTGAACAAACCAATAACAATCAGTGAGATTGAAACGGTAATTAAAAAATTACAAAAAAAAAAAAAAAGTCCAGGACCAGATGGATTCACAGCAGAATTCTACCAGACATTCAAAGAAGAATTGATACCAATCCTTAAGACACAATTCCACAAGGTAGAGAAAGAAGGGGCCCTCCCTAATTCACTTTATGAAACCAGCATTACCCCTAATACCAAAACCAGGAAAGGACATAACCAAAAAGAAAATTACAGACTGATATCCTTGATGAATATAGATGCTAAAATCCTTAACAAAGTACTAGCTAATCAAGTCCCACAACATATCAAAAAGATAATCCACCATGATCAAGTGGGTTTCATACCAGGGGTGCAGGGATGGTTTAACATAGGCAAGTCAATGAATGTGATACACCACATAAACAAAATGAAAAACAAAAATCACAGGATCATCTCAATAAATGCAGAAAAAGAATTCAACAAAATCCAGTATCCCTTTATGATTAAAACTCTCAGCAAAATCAGCATCCAAAGGACATATCTTAATGTAATAAAAGCCATCTGGGACAAATCCACCGCCAATATAATACTGAATGGGGAAAAGTTGAAAGCATTTCCTCTGAGAACTGGCACAAGACAAGGATGCCCACTCTCACCACTCCTCTTCAACATAGTACTGGAAGTCTTAGCCAGAGCAATCAGATAAGAGAAAGAAATAAAGGACATTCTAATCAGTAAAGAGGAAGTCAAACTGTCACTGTTTGCTGATAATGATTGTTTATCTTGAAAACCCTAAGAACTCCTCCAGAAAGCTCCTAGAACTGATAAAAGAATTCGGCAAAGTTTCCAGATACAAAATTAATGTACACAATTCAGTAGTTTTTCTATATACCAACAGTGACCAAGCACAGAACCAAATCAAGAACTCAACCACTTTTAAAATAACTGCAAAAAATAAAATATTAATATTGTGAAAATGACCATACTGTCAAAAGCAATCTACAAATTCAATGCAATCCCCATCAAAATACCTCTATAATTCTTCAGAGAATTAGAAAAAACAATCTGAAATTCATACAGAACCAAAAAACAGCCCACATAGCCAAAGCAAGACTAAGCAAAAAGAACAAATCCGGAGACATTACACTACCTGATTTCAAACTATACTATAAGGACATAATCAGCAAAACAGCATGGTACTGGTATAAAAACAGGTACATAGACCAATGGAACAGAATAGAGCATCCAGAAGTAAACCCAAATACTTACAGCCAGCTGATCTTTGACAAAGCAAACAAAAACATAAAGTGGAGAAAGGACACCCTTTTCAACAAATGGTGCTGGGATAATTGGCTAGCCACATGTAGTAGAATGAAACTGGATCCTCTTTTCTCATCTTATACAAAAATCAAATGAAGATGGACTTAAACCTAAGATCTGCAACTGTAAAAATTCTAGAAGATAACATTGGAAAAACCCTTCTAAACTTTGGTTTAGGCAAGGATTTCATGACCAAGGACTCAAAAGCAAATACAAAGATAAATAGCTGAGACTTAATTAAACTAAAGAGCTTTTGCACGGCAAAAGGAACAGACAGCAGAGTAAACAGACAACCTACAGAGTGGGAGAAAATCTTCACAATCTATACATCTGACAAGGACTAATATCCAAAATCTACAATGAACTCAAACAAATCAACAAGAAAAAAACAATCTCATCAAAAAGTGGGCTAAGGCCACAAATAGACAATTCTCAAAAGAAGGTATACAAATGGCCAACAAACATATGAAAAAAATGTTCAACATCACTAATGATCAGGGAAATGAAAATCAAAACCACAATGTGATACCACCTTACTCCTTCAAGAATGGCCATAATGAAAAAATAAAAAAACAGTAGATGTTGGCATGGATGTGGTGAACAGGGAACACTTCTACACTGCTGGTAGGAATGTAAACTAGTACAGCTACTATGAAAAACAGTGTGGCGATTACTTAAAGAACTAAAAGTAGAACTACCATTTGATCCATCAATCCCACTACAGAGGAAAAGAAGTAATTATTTGAAAAGATGGTTGCACACTCATGTTTATAGCAGCACAATTCACAACTGCAAAATCATGGAACCAACCCAAAGGCCCATCAATCAACGAACGGATAAAGAAACTGGTATGTATGTGTATATATATGTGTGTGTGTGTGTATATATATGTGTGTGTGTGTGTATATATATATACACACATATATGTATGATGGAATACTACATACTACTCAGCCATAAAAGGGAATGTAATAACAGCATTTGTAGCGACCTGGATGAGACTGGAGACTATTATTCTAAGTGATATAGCTCAGGAATGGAAAACCAAACCTCATATGTTCTCACTGATATGTGGGAGCTACGCTTTGAGGACACAAAGGCATAAGAATAATACAATGGACTTTGGGTACTTGGGGGAAGAGTGGAAGGGGTGCAAGGGATAGGAGACTACAAATATGGTGCAGTGTATACATGGGTGATGAGTGCACCAAATCTCACAAATCACCACTAAAGAACTTACGCATGTAATCAAATACCACCTGTACCCCAGTAACTTATGGAAAAATAAAAAATAAAAATAAAAAATGAATATATGATATAACTTGAATAAGTTGATTTCTAAGCAAATTTTTACAGAATAGCTTGTGAAACTTTGGATACTTATGATATAATTATTATTTTCTAGCATATTTAATTAGTCATTAAATGTTAATTAAAGAAATCAGAGAGTATTCTATTTTTAAAGAAATTCTAACACTTCTGCATTTGACTGCTTGTGTCTACTTCATGAATCTGATTTATGATGCAACATGATGGTAACAGCTGAACGTGAGATGTAATGACAATAAGGACACCACGTACATAAAAGAGTAAATGACTTTGAGATTTTACATTTTCAACACATAAGTACTACACATATTTATATAAAATACAAAAATGGAAAGAACAATTTTTTTTAGCTTCATGTTTGCAATCATCTTCATTTTAAATCTGTTTTGCAAATACAGGAATATGAGTTCCACAGGACTGGAGAGGAGAACTGCACAGGATTCCAAACAGTTACATATTTACTTACTTTATCAAAATAAACTTATACAACTAAATTTGTAGTTGTGTTGAGGGTTACCTATAACTGAGAGTTTCCCAGATATTTATTAAAGGACGAGTGACAAAAACATGCTAATATTTCAAATTACCATGTTTTTGTCACTCGTCCTTTAATATGTATATAATATCTTTGAAATATTTATATTATATATAGTATATATAGTATATAATATGGTTTGGATGGGTCTTCACCCAAAATCTCATCAATTATAATTCCCTTAATCCCTATATGTCGAGGGATCAGGTGGAGGTAATTGAATCATGGGGGTAATTTACCCCAAGCTGTTTTGTCATACTGAGTGACTCTAATGAGCTCTCATGGTTTTATAAGAATACATTATTTCCCCTGCTGGCACTCACTCCACCCTGCTGCACTGTGAAGAGGTGCCTGCTTCTCCTTTGCCTTCCACCATCATTGTAAGTTTCCTAATGTCTCCCCATGAATGAGAACCCATGAATCAATTAAACCTCTTTCTTTAATACATTACTCAGTCTCGGGTATTTCTTTATAGCAGTGTGAGCAATACATTACTCAGTCTCGGGCATTTCTTTATAGCAGTGTGAGAATGAATTAATTCAATAAATAAGTACCACAGAGAGGGGGGTGCTGCTACAAAGATACCTGCAAATGTGGAATTGACTTTAGAAATGAGTAACAGGCAGAGGTTGGAACAGTTTGGAGGGCTCAGAAGAAGACAGACACATGTGGGAAAGATTGGAACTGCCTAGAGACTTGTTGAGTGTTTTTGACCAAAATGCTTATAGAGATATAGACAATGAAGTCCAGGCTGAGGTGGTCTCAGATGGAGATGAGGAACTTGTTGGAAACTGAAATAAAAGTGTCTCTTGCTATGTTTGAGCAAAGACACTGGTGGCATTTTGCCCCTGATCTAGAGATCTGTGAAATGTTCAACTTGAGAGAGATGATTTAGGATATCTGGTGTAAGAAATTTCTAAGCAGCAAAGCATTCAGGATGTGACTTGGGTGCTCTTAAAAGCATTCAATTTTGGCTGGGGATGGTGGCTCACTCCTCTAATCCTAGCATTTTGGGAGGCTGAGGTGGGTGAATCACCTGAGGTCAGGAGTTCGAGACCAGCCTGGCTAACATGGTGAAACCCCGTCTCTACTAAAAATACAAAAATTAGCCAGGCATAGTCGTGGGCACCTGTAATGCCAGCTGAGGCAGGAGAATCACTAGAACCTGGGAGGCAGAGGTTGCAGTGAGCCAAGACTGTGCCATGGCACAGCAGCCTGGGCGATAAAAGCAAAACTCTGGCCAAAAAAAAAAAAAAACATATAAAAGCATCCAGTTTTATGCATTCACAAATATATGGTTTGGAGTTGAAACTTATCCTTAAAAGGGAAACAGAGCCTAAAAGATTTTTTAAAAATTGCAGGCTGACAATGTGATAGAAAAGAAAAACATTTTTTTTTTCTGAGAAGAAATTCAAGCTGGCTGCAGAAACTTGCATAAGTAAGGAGGACCCAAATGTTAATCACCAGTGCAATGGGGAAAATGTCTCCAGAACATGTCAGAGGTCTTCATGGCAGCCCCTCACATCACAGGCCCAGAGGCCTAGGAAGAAGTTTGCTTTAGGGGTGGAGCTCTCATGAAGAACCTCTGATGCCAGAGGTGGGTTTCCATGGTCTTCAGGAGCTCCACCACTGCTTTCACAGGCTGGCATTAAGCGTCTTTGGCTTTTCCAGGCACACAGTGCAAGATGTTAGTGGAGCTACCATTCTGGGGTCGGTAGGATGGTGGCCCTTTTCTCACAGCTCCACTAGGAAGTGCCACAGTGGGGACTCTGTGTGGGGGCTCTGATGTCACATTTCTTTTCTGCACTGACTTAACAGAGTTTCTCCATGAGGGTTCCATCCCTAAAGCAAACTTCTTCCTGGACATCCACGTCTTTCCATACATCCTCTGAAATCTAGGCAGAGGTTCCCAAACCTCAATTCTTGATTTCTGTGCACCCTGAGGCACAACACCACATGTAAGCCACCAAACCTTGGGGCTTGCACTCTCTGAAGCAACAGCCTGAGCTGTACGTTGGCTCCTTTTAACCATGGCTAGCACACAGAGCACCAAGTCCTAAGACTGCACGAAGTAGCAAGGCCCTGGGCCCAACCGAAAGGGCCATTTATTCCTCCTAGGCCTCTGCAGAATAGGACCTGGTTCCCTTCTATCCTTGCTAGAATCTTTTTCAAATAGTCCCTGGGCCACATCCTTGGTTTTTTCTCCTAACACACTCTTTCACTCGTTATGTGGCCAAGCTTAGAGTTCTTCAAATATTTCTGATATGCTTGTCTTTGGATTAGAAATTCCATCTTCAAAACTGTTTCTCTTCATAGTTTAATGTGAGTCATTAAAAGTAGTAATGCAGCAGCCTGAATGCTTTGCTTCTTAGATATTTATTCTACCGGATACCCTAATTCATTGATCTTAAGTTCTGCATTCCATAAAGCCCAAGGGCATGGACAAAATAACACAATGAAGTCAAGTTCTTTGCCAGTTAATCGCAAGGATGGGCTTTACTCCAGGTTCCAATGCCTTGTTCCTCAGTTCCATCTGAAAACTCATAAGAATGTTCTTTAATGTCCATATTTCTATCAACATTCTGGTTATGACCACTGAACTATCTCTAAGGGTTTTCAATCTTTCCCTAGTCTTGTTGTCTTCTAAACCTTCACCATAATGCAGGATTTTCTAGCCTCATCCTCCAAATTCTTCTAGCCACTACCCATTATCCAGTTCCAGAGCCATTTCTACATTACTGAGTGTTATTATAAATTGATATCACTTCTGATACCATTTTTCTTATCTTGGTCTGTTTTATTGGATTATAACAGAATACCTGAAACTGAGTAATTTTTAAGAAAATAAATTCATTATAGTTATGGAGGCTGAGAACCCAAGTTTAAAAGTGAGAACGTTTGTGCTGATGAGGACACTCTCCAGAGTTCCAGCATGGCACAGGGCATCCCATGGTGAGGAGGCTGAGCATCCTAGTTCAGGTCTCTCTTTTCTTATAAAGTCACCAGTCTCATTTCTGTGAAAAGCCACTAACCCATTGATCTACTAATTCACTAACTCATTAATCTATCCATGGATTAATTCATTTAGGAGAGCAGAGCCCTCATGGCCCAATCACATTTTAAAGTCTCCACCTTTTAGTAATGCCACATTGGAAATTAAATTTCAACATGAATTTTTGAGGGGACAAATATCCAAACCATAGCAGTATTCAATTATGAAAATGAGGGCAGAGGATTGTCATCATCATCAGAAATTTCAGTTAGAAAAGCAGATGGAGGCTGTTAATGAAGTAATGTGATGTGCCAGCTACATAATTCTGGCTCACATTATATTATATTTAGTCATAAAGTTCTTCTAAGACAGAGCTTGTGGCCAATTTGAGACAAGTGGAAGACTTTGGAATGAATGATTATTGTATACACTACTGTACTTTTCTAAGGCTTTTGGAGAGTTTATATATTTTACATTCTTTTTTTATTATCTGCAATTACCCAGTTTTAATATACTGAAAAAAATGTGTGTCATACTGCCTGGTTTATAATATTAATGATGAATCAGTTAATTTTACATTACTGCAGAGCAAATGATGCATATAGTTTTATTTATGTTAATTTTCCTTGTTTATATTAATGTTATAAAGTTATGATTATTGAATGTGTATTTATGTAAGTGGGGTATTTTATACAAATTTTACTTCAACAGTTATTGCTGCTGAACATTTATTTGTAACAAGCCATTTATTTAAAAAGGAAAGACAAATATTGTATCACATCTGATACATTTGAATTGTTTCTCAAATCACATGCTATAAAAGACAAAAGTCAGTGATAATTTATTGCTGTAAGTTGTACGGCTCTCCACATTTTTTACTTCACTTGCAAAAACTTGTAAGAACTCAGGAATCAATTTTCATTTACCAGTATCATTACTTTGTGTATCCTTTCTTTTACTCATTCACTGATCCAGTAGTAAGCCAACGTGAGAATAAATCAAGTGAGTACAAGTCAACATTTTCAATCTAGATTAGATTTAGAACCTAGATCTTGGCCTACTGCACTGTAGCTCCCAGATATGCTAAACATGTGCATACATCAGGAAGAGACAAAATCTCCTGGCTATTATGATACTCAGCCTCTTATAAGTCTGAAAGAAATGCATATTAGAATAGTCAATAAATGCCTACTATTTTGTGATTGATACTCATAGTGGCACTAGGCCAAGTGCCACCTCCAGATGTGTAATGCCTAGAAGTTGACAGTGACTGAAATCCACCAGGCTTAAAACTTTTCCATTATGCATTTCAGTATCCCCATATGCCGTGACTGTAATTAAAGCATTTCTAAATTTAATGTATTTCTTATGTCATTTATTATGTTAAGAACAATTTTATAATATAATTAACATGAAATATTGCATTTTATCACATCACCCTTAAGTAAAAAAATAATGTCTGCTTATTTTACATTTGTCTATAGATTTATAATTAGAATCATCACAATAATAGGTGAAAGCTATTATATTAAGAAAATTGTATTCCAAATGATTAATCAATTTGACATTATTTCTTAAAATTATAGATAGTCTAGTGAAGTGGAGTGAAAGGCAAGCTGTATCATTTTAAACCACACAGCACGCTTTTTCTCAAGTGCTATCTCGATGAATAACATTATGGTTAAAATATATGCAGACTATATATTGAAACATATACATACTTTTATATATTTAAATGTTTCCAAATATTTAGTTTTTGAAATGGCTAAACCTTCAGATTCTGTTAGAAGCATGTCTCCATATAATGTGTATGTATTTAATTGTTAATACTCTTAACTTCTTTTAACTGTCAGTTATTTAGAATTTTTCAACTGTGTCTTTACAAAATAATATTTAAGCATTATTATATACAACCTAGTATTTCAATTAAATTTCATGGGCCAATGTTTTTATTTTTTTGAAATTTATATACAGTACCATTAGTTAATTTAACCTGTGGTGAGATTTGCACTTCTAAATCCTTCCCTGAATTTTAATGCCCTTTTCACCCACCATCTCTGGCAAAATCTTTGAATCACCCCTCTCTTTCTTCGTGCCCATTCAGTCCACCTAAAGACAATGTCCTTCCATTACCTTTTTTTAAAATCAGTTTCACCTGAATATTTTTCACATCACAAAGTGTGTTTCAGCCTTCCCTAAACAAAATATCTACTCTACTTTCATTGATTTTCAAATTATCATTTAAATGGTATTTTTTCTATGAATGTATACCAAATACAGATTTTCTCCTAATGCATTTCATTTTATCACTTGTTTTAACTTACAAAAAGCTTTGTAGTGTAAATGTTTGAATACTAATTAAATATAAAAATTGAGATTTGGAAGAGATCCTAGGCCATATTTATGCTCAGTATCCAACTTTTTGTTTATTTTCTTGTATTACTAGGGAAATAAGTTTTAAACAAATTTATTTTATCTCTCTCCATTCTAAAATTTATACAATTCTAGTTCTAGTCATCACTTTTGAAAAAGCATCTTTTATACTACATCCTATTAATATTTTCATTTATTTATTGACATAAAGTTTGCA
This sequence comes from Homo sapiens, assembly GCF_000001405.40. NCBI lineage: Eukaryota > Metazoa > Chordata > Mammalia > Primates > Hominidae > Homo > Homo sapiens. The sequence continues at coordinate 163,659,588 of NC_000003.12, read as the reverse complement.
GTGATGTTATTTCAAAAATACGAATGGTTTTCAGAGCAATATGATTTACTTATATTACAGAATTTAATCCTGCAATAATGATATCTTTTTATAGGGGATCAAAAAGCTTTAGAATAGTTATTTTCGCAGTATGACAGATGTACTGAAATCTGGCCTCAAATCCCGTTTGACATTTTATAACATGCATTATTCAGTTGTATTATTGCTTTATTAATAATTATAGAAAGACTAAAAACTTTTCTTTACTCACCATTTCCATACATTTAACTAAAAAATATGTTTTCTTCGTAAGTTAACATAACATATTATGCCCTCAAATACATGTTTTAGGTATACTGAACTCAGTAAAATGAAGCACTCACTACTGTTTCAAACACTTTGGGTATAATTCCTGACATGATGAGTGAAAGTAAAGCAAAATGGTAAGCAATAATCACCTTTATGGAGTCTAGGTAAATTTAAAATTGCTCATAACTTTAATTCAGGTAGTCATTTCAACAATTTATACAGCAAATTTAGAAGGATTATTACAAAAATAACAATGTTATCTGATTGTAGATAGATTACTCCACAGAAAAATGACCAAGAATTTGAATAAACACTTTACAAAAGAAAATGTACAAATCACTATGAACAGTTAATCTTAATTTATCTCATTAATCTGGAAAATGCAACTGCAATAAGATACTAGAATGGCACAATCTTTTAAAATTAAAAATGGAAAGAATGAAACAGATATTATTCTGGCAAATGAATGTTTTCTATTAAAACTTCAATATCAACACACAAACCCTAAATATATAGGTAAATGATAACGTCTATCTGTGTCATTTATTCAATTACTTTATATGATTTGATTCTGCCTTAAGGTGCTATATTCTCTATGACTTATTTCTCAGATTATTGCAGCCCACAATATTCACTCTTTCATATGAACACTTGGTGCTTTCAATTTTAGCATGATTTGTTTTGTCAATTAATATGCACTATCGTTCTGTATTGCAATTAGGTTGCTCTTGCTTATCCATCAATGTTTCTTTTTTACTTCATTTTGTTTTGCTTTTTTGAGACAGAGTCTTGATCTGTTGCCCAGGCTAGAATGCAGTGGCATGATCTTGGCTGACCGCAACCCCTGCCTCCCAGCTTCAAGAGATTCTCCTGCCGCAGCATCCTGAGTAGCTGGGACTATAGGCACATGCCCTAGGCCTGGCTAATTTTTGTATTTTTAGTAGAGACAGGGTTTCACCATGTTGGCCAAGCTGGTCTTGAACTCCTGACTTCAGATGATCTTCCCACCTCAGCCTCCCAAAGTGCTGGGATTACAAACATGAGTCACCACACCTGGCCGTATCCATTAAATTTTATATATTTTTTTAAGCTATTCAAGATATAGCTTGTTCTGCTCCTGGAGCCTCATTAATACCACTCTGAACACAAAATATTTGGTTAAATATAAGTTTAAGTAATTGATATTTATACAATATTCAAGCCAAGACATCTACAATTTTTGTAAATGAAAATGAAATGCATTTTCTTCAGTAAAAACACTATGTAAACCAAAATATAAATATTTGCTTTTTTTCTCTAAATCAGCCATTTAATTTTATGGCTAAGAAATTAGAAGTTTACCTAGGTTAATGAATTTGTCTACTACCTTAGCAAGATAGTGGCAAAATGACAACTTTGGTACTGATTTCCAGTTTGGTCCACTGATTTCCAGGCCACTACACAGTGCTATTTAATAAATAATTTTAATGAAAACGTGACTTGAAAAAAACAGCAACTTGATTACAACTCTAGGAAAAAAAAACTATTCCTGGAATGAAAGCTGCTTGAAAAAGTGGCAAATATGGCTACTTAATGCCTATGTTCTTCTTCTTATGATATGTGGTACTGAATGCTAATTGACAAACTTAGCTTAAGATAAGTAGTGCATAATAGAAACAAAAATGAAACAAAGGAATTGCAATGTTTCCCTGTGGGATAATATACTTGGCAAAAAACAAAACAAAACAAAACAGAACAAAACAAAAAAACTGAGAACCAAAAGGATAATAGATGTTTATATAGCCATATAGAATGCCAAATGCAGTGAAAATAGCAAGAAATAAGAAAAAAAAAGATGATTATTTCACCTTCCATATTGTAGTCCCAAGAACCACAAGAACTTTTTGAATGACCAAGCACATAATAATCTAATCTAATAGCACAACTCTGCAGTAGTACATGTGAAAAAAAAAAAAAAAAAAAAAAAAACATGCCTTCCAGGGATAAAAAGTAGAATGCAAGTAGAATTGATGACTAAGGAGAAATAAAGAAGAAAAGCGAAAAACCAGAGAAATGTATACCTATTATGTGACAGCATTGCCAAAACAATGTCCTTCCTAACATTTTACTAGTATCTTTGCTAGGACTTACCAAAATTATAAGAATTTTCTTTTATTTCTTTAAGTATAAACTACAGCATAAAATTATTTAGTCAAATTTTGCGGTGTTGCTACAGATAAAAATTTATTGTGAATTATTTTCCTTTTAATAAGAATTTTCAAACGGTGAGTATTGTTAGAATACGTATTTTATCTCCTTTTTGTTTTTAGGTGACTTCAAAATAACTATTGTAAAAATTGGCTAAAGAAAAATGATAATTAACAAAAGTATGAAATTAGCATTTGTGAAAAGCAAAGTAAGTTTTACATGAGTGATGAAAGTTAAATAGAGGCTTGAATGAGAAAATTGAGACGTTTTTAGAAAGATTTCGTGTTACCTGTTAGGAAGAAACTTGGGAGAAAAAAAATGGGTTGTAATTTTGCCTAGCAATTGGAAAGTGTATACCAGCTTTTTGCAATGAATTGATTAGGAAAATGTGTGTGTGTAAAGGAAAGGTTAGTCCAAATTAGAGCATAATCATATTTAGAAGAAAAAGTCTAAAGAAAAAAAACAAACAGAAAGATCTCCATGACTCTTAAATAAATCAAGTATTAAAAAGAAAAGAATTGAGTAGGCCTTTAGACAAATAGATCAAAAAACAAACCAACCATATTTTTTAATGTAATAATCCTGAGTACTTAATGATTGTTGAGTTTTTGGTTTACACGGACTTCAAATCAAACAAGTTTAAAGTACCACTTTGCTATATGATTGATCAATACCTTTTTTTTTTTTTGGTTTAAACTTATCTTATGTGGAATTACATGTCTTGCATTTCCTGATCAGTAATGCCATTAAGACATTTTTTTCTTGAAAAAGGACCAGAAGACTTAAGTCTTGAAAAAGGACTTAGATGACTCCTAAGGCAAACTTTTCTTGGTCAGTTTTAAATAATGAAAACAAACAAACAAACAAACACTTATTTTGCAACAAGTTGCAAAACGGTGAAATCAGTCCTTTAAATGAGTGTGCTTCTCTATTCAAATCTAACTCATATGAGATCTTTGGGTAGTGATGACAGTTATGGGCAACCGCTTGGTATCATATCTAAGATTCTCTATTTGGGCTAGGGTAGAATTTCCTTATTTATTTATTTTTCACAAATTCGGTTTTGATTATTGACTAGAGTTCAAACTAGAGACACAGTTATCACAGGGGTGTACCATATGATAGAAAAGAGTCCATATTTAACCCTGGACTGAAGCCAAACACGTATAACTTATTTTTTTAAGTCGTCTATAACAAGTCCTTAAGAAAAAAAATAAAATCAAGCTTTTAATTTTGTTAGTCTATCAAGGAACCATTTGTAGGAAAACAAAAAAATGTGGTAACTTGCATAGCCTTGAATATAATTCATGACTTATCGGCTCCAGCTTCCATAGTGCCAAAATGTGGTTTAATTAGTAGATTCCATTTTAATGGGAATCTCATCTCACATTCACTGGCAGTAGAGAACTACATCACACATTATATTTGACAGAATACAGTAAGTTCTTTTGCTAATACTTATAGAGTACTTTTAGGTTTTTCTTTGAATTACATACTGATGTTTCTAATGAGAACTAGAAATAAAATCCTACTCTACCATCCACTGAATGAACCCCTTCTTGGCCAAGAAGACCGCAGATTAACCTTAAAAACAGTTCCCAGTCATAACAGGGTAGGAATTCAGATACCTTCATCCTCCCCTCTCTCTTTGCAGTTTATATACAACAGACCAGCACTAATGTGAAAATGGAGATCATAATGACAACAGCAGTAGGTGCGTCAGGAGCAGCCACTCTAGGGATGCCAGCTGCAGTGGGGAAGGTGCAGCCATGGCTGTGGCTCAGCGAAGCTGGAGGGGGACAGGAACAGGCGGGAGCCGCGCTCCCTATTAGGTTGGCTGAGTGGGAGCCCCCTCACACTCCCGGGCACAGCTGTGGCCACCCAGCCATGGCTCTGGACCCAAGCATCCCTGCACTCTCGGGGGTCCAGGAAGCTCCCCTGCTCATGTAGGCTTTGAAGTGCCTGCTCCCACTCCCTGGCCTCTCCCCGCTTCTGGTGCCTGCTCTGGTTCAGAAAAAAGTAGTAACAGAGCCCACTGCCCTCACGAACTGGCCAGGTGTGCACGCACTCAGGGCAGTGCTAACGTGGCAGCCACCCCCTGCTGCCTTGGTCCCCTATGGACGTTGGGCACCAACAAGCACAGAAGAGAGGGCAGTGGGGGGGACTGAGGGCAGTTTTCTTTATAAATTACCTAGTCTTGGGTATGTCTTTATCAGCAGCATAAAAATGCACTAATACAGTAGTTGACAAGTAGAAGGTCATGAAAATAAACTGAATATACTGCAGCCAGGAACAAGAGTAGGAAAAATGGGGCAGAAAAAGACTGCAATGAGGAAATACTTATGCAAGTTGTAGCCCAAAGACACATCTCACCAAAAAGAATGATATATATATAGAAGGCTTTCTCTCCCCGACACCTTACTACCACATTAAAAGAGATCCAGTAAGAGGGGATTAAAACTGAAAGTGCTCGAAATTGTACCATTTAGAAAAACTTGTGCAAGAATGTACATAACAGCAAATTCAAAATATCCAAAAAGCTAAAATAGCCCAAATGCCCATTAGCTGTTGAACAAGTACAGTTTATCACTTTATAATGAAATACTATTCAGCCATAAAAAGGAATAAAATACTTGTATATACTACAACATAGATGAATCTTGACAACATTATTCTAAGTGAAATATGTCAGACATAGAAGGCCACATATTTTTTGTGTAATTTTATTTCTATGAAATATCCAGATAGGCAAATGCAAAGACAACAGAAAGTAGATCAGTAGTTGCTAAGACATATGGAGTAGACAAAATTGGTCATAACTGCTAATAAGATGGAATTTCTTTTCAGAGTGATTTATATGATCATATAGTGGTGATGATTGAACAAGATTTAACATATATTAAAAACCACTGTATCATACATTTTAAAATAGTTTTAATGGTGGTTCTTAATATTAATTTGAACTTTACTTAAAAAAAAGGTTTTTTAAATCTGAAAAAGCTGGAAGTCACAGACTCCATATAAAGGCTAAAAATACAATGTGAAAAAAAGCAAAAATTCAATGTGAAAAAACCAATGAAATGTGAAGCCTCTGACACCTATAAACAGTAAACATTAAACACAGTCCAATTCCCTATCATATTAACATAGATCTTCACACTATATCTCTTTGCATCTATTTACCCAATAAACAATGTCAAGTTTTCAACATCAAAAGGCACAAACAACTGAACAGACAGAGCAAGAATTAGAACGAAAATCAGATATCATGCAGATATTGGAATTATCATCACACAGGAAATTTTAAGTAACTATTATTAATATGTAAAATGCTATACTTAGAAAGGATATAGCATACAAGAATGCCTGGGTAATGTCAAAGGGAAAACACAATTTTAAGAAAAAAACAAAAGGAAATAGTAGAAATAAAAAACATTTTAATAGAAATAAATAATTACTTTGATGGGTCCATATCATATGAGTATCATCATATGTATATTCACCACTTAAGTGAAAATAATTAGTAATCATGAAGATTCATCAATAAAATTTCCCAAACTACAATACAGAGAAAGAGAAAAAAGGAAACCTCAAAAAATTGTTTGACAATTTCCAAAGATATAACTTACATTGGGACTACAAAAAGAAAAACAAAAACAAATACATGCAGCAAAAGAAATAGTTAAAATATTAATGTGAAAAACTTTCCAAAATTAATGGCAGACTGCAAGCTACATATTTAGGAAACAAGAGAGCACCAAGCAGAATATACTCCCACCAATAAAAGCAAACAAACTAAAACAGGAAACAGCAGCAAAACATAAGGCATATCATATTGAAACTACAATAAAGCACAAGCAAAAAGAAAATCTTGAAATAAGCTAGATGAAAAACATCTTATCTTTCCAGAAACAAGGGTACAGATTACATCAGGCAAGAGGAGAGCATAGTGAACTTTTTCAAGTGTTGAAAGAAAAATTCACCATCTGTAATACTGTGCATACATCCAATGATATTATTTTTCAAAACTGAATGAAATGTAGGTTACACAGACAAACAAAAATGAAAAAAAAAAAATCATTCCCAGAACTTCCCTGTAAAAGACACATTAGAAGTTTTTCAGGCAGATGGAAGCTTATATGGGTGGGAAACTTGAAAATACTTATAAAAAAGAAAGAAAGTGTTGGAGAAAGAATAAATAAAGTTATTATTTTTTACTTTTCTAATTTGATTTAAAGGTAAATTAAGTAACTACATATTGATTATTACATGCGGGTAAGTGTAAAGAATGAAAAATATGACAAACGTTATAAAGTAACAATATATAGGTTGATTATAATGTGAATAAGTGAAAAGAATGAAAAATATGACCATAGTTTTGATTAACAGTAATATATCATGTTGACAGAATGTATCCTTGATACCATATGATAAAATTAGCATTTTAGTTTTGCGTCTGTGTCCCTCAAACCCCTATTTCCAGGGTATTCATGAAGGAAAAACTTCAAATAAATTATAGTTGAGGGGACATTCTACAAAATTTCCAACTGGTACTCTATAAATCCTCCAAGTTCATCAAAAACAAGGAACATCTGAGATATTGCCACACCCAAGAGGAATCTGAGGAGACATGATGAAAGTAGTATCCCAGATGGAATGCTGGTATAGAAAAATGATATTGGGTAAACGCTAATAAAATCTTAATACTGTGTGAAGTAATGCATCATTATCAGTTTATTAGTTGTGACAATTATGCCATACTAATGTAAGATGTTAACAATAGAGATAAATAAGTGCTTGGTATATGGGAACTCTGAACTATCTTGATAATTTTTCTGTAAATTTAAAACTATTCTACACTAAACACATAAAAATAAAAATATGTGGTGTGCCATTTATTATGCTTTTACATATTTTATTAGTGTTACCATTGTATTTAGAAATGCATACACAATATTAGAAATCTAATTTTAAACTTCTATGTAATATGGAATAATACATATGTTATTTTATGTTAAAACAATTTACAGAAAAATCTCATTCAATTCACAATTCTCAGTTAAAGAATCTGAAAATTAAATTTGCGAGGTATCTATGAAAATTAAGCCAATCACCACCATAGCCCACTGACTTAATGAAACCAGAGAGAAAGTTTCACACATATATAGTTAATATATATATACACACACACACATACACACATATATGTGTGTATATATATATACACATACACACACTATATATTCATGAATATATGTTTATTTACATTTATGTGAATATATACTTGGAAGAGTTGATCTAGGTAATGATGGCAGTTTTAAGCCTCAACATTTCATCTCCCAGTTTGCTGTCAAAGCTAATTTTGACAATGTACAAGTTACACAGCTGTATATAAATGATTTATAGAAGCCACTTTCAGCAATTCTAAAGTACTTGCTTATTCAGCAAGCGGTCTTTTTATATAGATATCTGGTACCAAGAGATGGTAAATGTAATTTTAAATGATATTGTAATGTTTTGTTTGCTTGGACTTTAAAAAACTTTGTAGTTTTATATTGGCAATGATAATCTCATGAGAGACAATAATTTTTTTTTGCTAAACAACGATTAAAAGTGAGCTTATTAATATATACTATCATCATTGTAGAACTGCTGACTTTTGCAGAAATTCTGTAGATTTTCATTTACATTTGATTAGAACCCATGTGTTTTGTTTGGTTCCCCCAAAAGCGTATACTTTAATAAGAAATTGTGAACTACTAGTTTATGGGATAATTCCACAAAGAACTAGTAGAAGAGTGAAAAGTTGAGAGAGTAGAGATAAGGAAATAATAAACGCACCTCAAATAGGGTGCAATTTTGGACAACTGGAACACTAGGAGACAATGTGAAACATATATCAGAGTTCTCAAAGCAAAGAGAAAACCTGGACTAGGTAGTCAGTTGGCAGTAAGATTAGGTGGGTATTTTTGGATAATTAAGGAGATAGAACAATATATTTCAAGAGCAGATGTGAAATATTTTTGCAAATTAAGAGATCAGATTTATTAGACAAATGGATTGAGAAAGATGAGATGAAACCAGGAGTAATGGGTATGCAAAGTTATACAGTATTGAAAGCTAATTCTAGTATAAATATAAAATTTTAATTTTTCTGTATGTCTTCGAATCATTAAGAGCATCAATGATAGGTATAAGCATATAACTCACAGTCATTTTTTTTTTTTCTGGGACACATTTAAAGCAGTGTGTAGAGGAAAATTTATAGCACCAAATGCCCCCAAGAGAAAGCAGGAAAGAACTAAAATTGACACCCTAACATCACACTCATAATCTGTGGATTATCAAAATAAGCTTATATATCAGCAATAAACCCTCGTTAGTACAATATTAATTCGATTATACATTCAGTATATTTCAGATTGAGAATCTTCCTTTCATTAAAAAGTAAATGACTTTCTCATGAATTTAACCAACGTTTATTTCTCATGACAAATAGTTATGCTTTCATAGCAATCAATCATTCTGTACAATGTTTTCTCTTTTTCTCCTTTTGCTAAGATTATCCTCATTTAAAAATTTCTTTAGTAACATGTTGGGACAAAAGGAATGTAAAACTCATAAGTATAATTTTATTAAAAAATAGAATGTTGAGTTTTCTTATAAAAGTAGAATGAGAGCAATACTTAATGCCAGCTACATTTTAAATTTAATATTATACTAGATTGTCTGTAACTATCAAGTTTGTCACCATCACCTCAGGAGAGTTAATGAGGTCATTATTTTCATATTTAGTGCTTAACATATTTATAATCATTTTCAATAATCTATAAAGCTCATAGATTAGTTCTGACATCTATAATGCTAAGTATAACTTAATTTTTCAACTGTTAATATTTTAACTATTTTTGACTATTTTAAGCTTAGTTAATATTATCTTTCATTAAGTTATTTCTGATTCATCAGCCTTCTAAATATAATAAAATCTGTGATATAAATAAGGCTTTTATCTCAGAATCTATTTTTTTTCAATTTTTATTTTTTATCTTAAATTTCTGTTTGGACATTGAATCACTTTTCACTCAAATAAATATTCCAAAAACATTCTATGGATGCATTTTATTCAAATTCAGAAATTTAAAGAACACTACTCTTTTTACCATTTGCTTTATATACATAGACATGTGCAAAAAGATATCCTCTAACCATGTACCTGGACATGACTTAAATGTAATTTGTTCCACTACAAAATCAACAACTATGTTTTTATTAGTTTTTCTCTGTTTCACTTGTTTTAACAATAAAGAAACTATATAAAACTGTTCACAAAAGGTTGGAGGGAATATTGTGGAATAGATTGTGTGAACTCCTGTAGCTTCCCATTTATTCAAACAGGAAAGCCATACGACCATTGGGCTTGTGTTGTGAGACAACTGAGACACTCTGTGAAAGGTACTGAAGCCCAGGAGGCAGGAAGGATCTTTCTTTTGTTGTTAATAAGAGAATGCTTACTAAAGTCTGCACTTTAGCAAGGTAAAAATTTGAAGTACTTTGGGTGATTATATACATGAAACAAACTGAAAAACTTCAAAGTTACAGGGTTATACATTGAACCCATGAAATATTATTTAAAGCTGTTGAATTTAAAACAGTAACTATTGTAATACCCTATGAAGCTCTCCTTATATTCCAGTTATTGACCTTAGTACTTTTAAAATATTTTGTAATGTAATTTACTTCTATGAAAAATACTATATCTCCATTTTTCAGTTAAAATACTGAGGGTCTAAAAAGTAAATAATGTGTACAAATTTATAAATTTGCAGCATAAATACAAATCCAGATTTATATGTTTATAAAGCAGATACTTCAATTTTCCAGTTTTATTTTTTTCCTATTTTCAGGTACTATTTTTTAGATAAAGTCAAATCAAAGTAAAATGTAATATTTCAAATATATTAGAATTATTCTTATATTGTTTCTGAATATTTAAAATGATAAGGTAGTCTAATAAAAAGTTTCAGAATGGTTTATGACAAATTTAAAATTAAAGACATGATAGCAGCACTGTTTTATACAAAGTAATGTAAACTTTGCATGTCACTTAAATTTTATTCTATTTTCAAAAATTGTAATCCACTCCATACCCAAGAATGATAGATCCAATGGCAGCTTACATCACGTGCCTAGAAAATCTGCAAACATTAAACTCAAACCCATGAGAACAGCCACAGGGGCTGAACTCTACAAAACCACAGGGGCTGAGTTGCCCAAGGCCTTGGGAGACCACCCCTTCCACCAGAGTGTCCTGGATATAAGACATGAAGTCAAATGAGATTATCTGGGAGCTTTAAAATTTAATAGCTGCCCTGCTGGGTTTTAGATTTGCATGGAGCTTATTGCCCCTTTCTTTTGACCAATTTCTTCATTTTGGAATAGGAATATCTACCGAATGCCTGTACCACCATTGTGTCTTGGAAATAAATAACTTTGATTTCACAGTCTCATAGGTGGAAGAAGAAAAGTCTCAGATGAGACATAGGACATTAGACTTGATGGTGGAACAAATTAAGACTTCAGGGGACTATTGGGAATGAATAATTGCATTTTGCAATATAAGGGCATGAGATTTTGGGGAGCAGGGGTGGGAACATATGGTCTAGATGTTTGTCACCTCCAAATCTCATGTTGAAATGTCATCCTCAGTGTTGAAGATAGAGCCTGGTGGGAGGTATTTGGATCATGAGGGAAGATCCCTTATGAATAGCTTAGCACTATTCCTTGGTGATGAGTGAGTTTCTGCTCTGAATCCATGCCAGATCTGGTTGTTGATAAGTGCGTGGCATCTCTCCCCACCCTTTCACTCCTGGTCTCACCGTGTGGTGCACTGGCTCTACACTTTGCATTCCGCCATAATAAGAAGCTTTCTGAGGCCCTCACGTGAAGCAGATGCCAGCACCATACTTCCTTTACAGCCTAAAGAACTGTGAGCCAAAAAAACTGTCTTTTTAAAAAATAAATTACCATCTCAGTTATTTCTTTACAGTAACAAAAGAATGGCATAACACATGCATTTTCCCTCTAGCATAATTACACAGAGCACACTTTGAATAATTTTTAGATTATTGTGAAGTGTATTTGTACCCAATATTTGGCCTCCCCTTTTCTTCTCTTTCCCTTCTCTTGTCCTTTCCTGCATTCTTTCTATGTGCTAAAAAAAATCCTGTTTTAAGATATACTTTGATTCAAATTATCCATGATATTATAGTACAGGGACCTGAATGTGTGCTATTTTTCAATACTTTTAACTTGTTAGCCGAGTAGCACATATTATCGGGCATTGTGGTCCTATTATTCTTCTGTCTGGCCCTCCTAACTACATTTCAAGCCTTTGACCTTTAATTCAACATAAAGAAGTCAGTCAGTTTATACTGACGTATTTGTCACATTTTTCAAGACTCATTTTATAATAAAGGTATATTTCTTATATCTTAAGTGCATTTTCTTTGGCACAAAGCTTTAATTAGTGTGCATTTGAATAAGGATCATGGCCTTAAATATGTAAAAAAAATAAAAATCTCTTTTAAAATATGTAGCAGTTAAAAAATCACTTTATTCTTTTCATATTGCAATTATCACTTAGTAAAAATGTGTGAAAACTCATTATTTTAGTTAATGTTTGAGTTTCAAATACCTCCCTAACGACAGCTGAAGTGAATGCTTTATGAAAAATCTACAGCAACAACAATGAAAATGTCATTGCCTTTCCTGCATAAGCTAACATCAAGATGTGTTTTGAGATACTCCCTCTAAGCCATGGAAAACTTATACCAACGTTGTTCAAACTGTGCTGTTAGGGAACATGTTTTTAGTTTGTTTTTATTTGCTTGTTTCATTTCATTAGGACTTTTATCGCAACTTCAGGGAAAAAAGAGAAGGGATCTGGCATATCTGTGGTCCTTGATCCCACCTCTAACAAGAAAACCAGAAATGCTATAGTAGAGCCATTGACATTCATTGAATCCATTTTTTCATTGAGTAGAGAAGTTAGCTGTTATTAAAACAAAACAAAAGAAAGCAAAACAAACAAAACAAATATAACCAGAAAAGCAATTTAAAATCACTGGCTTAGAGGCAAACAGGATAACATAAACTATAAAATGTCTGCTGAATATATCATTAGTGTATATGTGTGTGTGTTTTTGTGTGCGTGCACGTGTGTGTGCATGTGTGTTTTTGTTATGAATTCTAGGAGTATTTTGGGGTCCCTACACCATAACAATAGGTCATCAACCTCCTTATATATTGTATACTAATAACATGCTCTCTCCCATTATCCTGAGGAAAAAAAAACAGAAGCATGAAATTATCCGGGAAAAGCAGAATAAAAAGGAGTTGACTGCTTTAACTACAGTCTTATCTTGGGGAATAGGCCAATGTGCTAATTTGTTTATTTTCTCTTTTTTAATGGAAAGCAGCAGGAAAATAATTGATATTTGGTAAAGGCTGCTTCTGCGAATATTGCCATGTATTCTTTTGAGAACCATGGTGATGATCCAAAGAGGTAATATTACCTTCTAAAATAAAAAAAAAATACAAAACAAAACAAAACAAAAATCTGTCATGGTATTTTTGAAACAGTGTTGCATATATTATTTTAACAATAATTGAAATTGATTTTGACAGTAAATATAAAGTTATTATAAAGTTACTACTGGTTTCAATAGAGGATATAAAGCTAGAAGCTTAAAGGCACCACATAAGACTTCAGATGTTAAAAAAAGAAAATAGATCAGGCCTGGTGGGGTGGCTCATGCCTGTAATCCCAGCACTTTGGGAGGCCAAGGTGGGTGGATCCCTTGAGGTCAGGTGTTTGAGACAAACCTGGTCAACATGGTGAAACCATATGTCTACTAAAAATACAAAATATAGCTGGGTATGGCAGCACCTGCCTGTAGTTCCAGCTACGGAGGTGGCTGAGGCAGGAGAGTCACTTGAACCCAGAAGGCAGAGGTTACAGTGAGCCAAGATGGCGCCATTACACTCCAGCCTGGGTGACAGAGGGTGAATCGGTCTCAAAATAACTAAATAAAATAAATAAATAAATCAAGACCCTCTGCTTTGTTTATCTGTAGAGAACCAGTATTTATCTATATTTAGATAATAGTTCAAGAAAGGAACAGCTTCCGAATTATTGAAAACTTTCTGAAAAGGGAAAGTTCCCTAAAGTGTTGTGTTTAAGATTATTTTTATTTCTATGCCATAGTCCAGTCTAATTAGGGTGGAGTCTTGAAGTCCACATCAACTTTTTCCCTATTGCACGGCACTTGAAAATATGTGATTCTCTTTCCTAAGTATATGATCAACCTAGATGATCTTTTATGGTAAAATATAATATAGAAAGACTGGATAAGAAGTGAAATATTGGCCGGGCGCGGTGGCTTACGCCTGTAATCCCAGCACTTTGGGAGGCCGAGGCGGGTGGATCATGAGGTCAGGAGATCGAGACCATCCTGGCTAACAAGGTGAAACCCCGTCTCTACTAAAAATACAAAAAATTAGCCGGGCGCGGTGGCGGGCGCCTGTAGTCCCAGCTACTCGGGAGGCTGAGGCAGGAGAATGGCGTGAACCCGGGAAGCCGAGCTTGCAGTGAGCCGAGATTGCGCCACTGCAGTCCGCAGTCCGGCCTGGGCGACAGAGCGAGACTCCGTCTCAAAAAAAAAAAAAAAAAAAAAGAAGTGAAATATTATGGTGATAATGATTCTAAAAAATGGCAAATGTATGAAGTATTATAAAATTCGGAAAGTGTAAATTTATCACTGCCAGCTACAAGTACTTGCAAGTGACTCCAAAGGTCACTGGTATGTGCTTATTTTCAATTTTTCAGGTTTCTGTATGGGAGTGAGCCACTTGTCTAATGACATGGACAACACAGTGGCTAAGCAGCCACTTTACAATGTGTCTCAATGTAGTTTTCTCCATTGTTTCTGCCTTAGAAAAACATGTCATGATTAGACAAATGATTTCCTTAGGTGAAAATAGAACTGAAAAGAAGTCGAAGAGCTATTCGTGTTGGCAGATAAGTTTTAGAAATCAGAATTTTTAACCAAATTTCAAAACTGGATAAATTTAAATGTGAATGTTAAATTGTGCAGAAGTTTATGAATGTTTTATTGTGCAGCAGTTCATGAATTTATATATATATATAATTTTTAGATAATACCTCAGTAAGTATAAAATTCTTGCCAAACTCATACACAAAATAGTTGTAAGATGATTTACCCATTCATTCAAAGTCAGAAGAGAGTAACAGGAAACATGAGACTCTCACAGAAACAAGATTATGAATAAAAATCAAACATTCACATATTGGTTACATAAAGGAGCTGATATTTGGGGCCAATATACTTTAAGTCACTGAAATGAATGTATGCTTGTTCAGGAATATAGAAAAAAAAGAAAAATAAACTCTTTCTGTGAGTAAAGAGATGCTTAAGAGAATAGAAATCATTTCTCACTCACATTTTCAAGAGAATTATTCTAATATATTTAAGAATCTTGTAGCAGAAAGAAACGTAATAGAACATAAAACATGCATGTATTAAATGATAAAACCCTCTCAAGCATAAAAATTTAAATATAAGCATTTGAAGGGAAGAACAACTCATTAGCCTATGAGTAATATGAACAAAATGTAGTTTAAAAAGAGCTTGCAGTATTATTCCAACAACCATAGGTTATTCAGGTGCCAAGAATGAGGACTTGTTACATTCTGGAAGTCTGATAAAATGAATGATTAGTGAAAACTACAATACACTTTTTGTTCTTCTTTAAGTGTTTGGAGATGGAAATAGATAAATATTTTGTTTCATTCAGCAAATAGCAGATAGGATACAGGGTCATCTGTAAGCCACTCGTGAATTTTACCGTTGAGGTGTTTATTACTTCCTTTATAACATCATACACTTTCTTCCTCTTGAATAGCATACAACACATACATTTAACAATATTGTAGAAGGATCACACTTACTCTTTGAATACACTGACCACGATGTGAGGATGTATTGAATAGAAATAGATAATCAAGAAGTACTAAATAAAGTGTGACCTAAAACATTAAATAATTTTGAAGAGCTCTGTGGAAGAAAATAAAATTATTTCAAGAGATAGCCTTTTGTAGTATGATATTTCTGAGACAGCAGATGATAAAATTATCAAGGTCAATGTTTAAAAACTGAATTGGATGAGCTGGCTTAAAGGGAACAAAAAAGAACTGTTGGAAGATGTAGGAAATGTAGTAAAAGTTGTAAAAAAAAAAAAAAAAAAGACAAAACGGAAACATTGAAGAATTAGGAAAACCTATTTTGAAATATTTAAAATATAGTAAATATTTCTTATACACTAAGATGCTAACCAACAGTTCATCCAGTTTTTGTACTGTTGTTATTGTTTTTTTATTATACTTTAATTTCTAGGGTACATGTGCATAATGTGCAGATTTGTTACATATGTATACATGTCCCCTGTTGGTGTGCTGCACCCATTAACTCGTCATTTACATTAGGTAAATCTCCTAATGCTATCCCTCCTCCCTCCCTCAACCCCATGACAGGCCCTGGTGTGTGATGTCCCCTTTCCTGTGTCCAAGTGTTCTCATTGTTCAATTCCCACCTATGAGTGAGAACATGCGGTGTTTGGTTTTTTGTCCTTGTGATACTTTGCTGAGAATGACGGTTTCCAGCTTCATCCATGTCCCTACAAAGGACACGAACTTATCCTTTTTATGGCTGCATAGTATTCCATGGTGTATATGTGCCACATTTTCTTAATCCAGTCTATCATTGACGGACATTTGGGTTGGTTCCAAGTCTTTGCTATTGTGAATAGTGCCACAATAAACATACGTGTGTATGTGTCTTTATAGCGGCATGATTTATAATCCTTTGGGTATATACTCAGTAATGGGATGGCTGGGTCGGGATGGTATTTCTAGTTCTAGATCCTTGAAGAATTGCCGCACTGTCTTCCACAATGGTTGAACTAGTTTACAGTCCCACCAACAGTGTAAAAGTATTCCTATTTCTCCACATCCTCTCCAGCACCTGTTGTTTCCTGACTTTTTAATGATCGCCCTTGTAACTTGTGTGAGATGGTATCTCATTGTGGTTTTGATTTGCACTTCTCTGAGGGCCAGTGATGATGAGCATTTTTTCATGTGTCTGTTGGCTGCATAAATGTCTTCTTTTGAGAAGTGTCTGTTCATATCCTTCGCCCACTTTTTGATAGGGTTGTTTTTTTCTTATAAATTTGTTTGAGTTCATTGTAGATTCTGGATATTAGCCCTTTGTCAGATGAGTAGATTGCAATTTTTTTTTCCCATTCTGTAGGTTGCCTGTTCACTCTGATGGTAGTTTCTTTTACTGTGCAGAAGCTCTTTAGTTTAATTAGATCCTATTTGTCAATTTTGGCTTTTGTTGCCATTGCTTTTGGTGTTTTAGACATGAAATCCTTGTCCATGCCTATGTCCTAAATGGTATTGTCTAGGTTTTCTTCTAGAGTTTTTATGGTTTTATGTCTAACACTTAAGTCTTTAATCCATCTTGAATTGATTTTTGTATAAGGTGTAAGGAAGGGATCCAGTTTCAGCTTTCTACATATGGCTAGCCAGTTTTCCCAGCACCATTTATTAAATAGGGAATCCTTTCCCCATTGCTTGTTTTTGTCAGGTTTGTCAAATATCAGATGGTTGTAGATGTGTGGTATTATTTCTGAGGGCTCTGTTCTGTTCCATTGGTCTATATCTCTGTTTTGTTACCAGTACCATGCTGTTTTGGTTACTGCCTTGTAGTATAGTTTGAAGTCAGGTAGTGTGATGCCTCCAGCTTTGTTCTTTTGGCTTAGGATTGACTTGGTGATGCAGGCTCTTTTTTGGTTCCATATGAACTTTAAAGTAGTTTTTTCCAATTCTGTGAAGAAAGTCATTGGTAGCTTGATGGGGATGGCATTGAATCTATAAATTACCTTGGACAGTATCCCATTTTCATGATATTGATTCTTCCTATCCATGAACATGGAATGTTCCTCCATTTGTTTGTGTCCTCTTTTATTTCATTGAGCAGTGGTTTGTAGTTCTCCTTGAAGAGGTCCTTCACATCCCTTGTAAGTTGGATTCCTAGGTATTTTATTCTCTTTGAAGCAATTGTGAATGGGAGTCCACTCATGATTTGGCTCTCTGTCTGTTATTGGTTTATAAGAGTGCTTGTGGTTTTTGCACATTGATTTTGTATCCTAAGACTTTGCTGAAGTTGCCTATCAGCTTAAGGAGATTTTGGGCTGAGACGATGGGGTTTTCTAAAGATACAATCATGTGATCTACAAACAGGTACAACTTGACTTCCTCTTTTCCTAATTAAAACTCTTTATTTCTTTCTCCTTCCTGATTGCCCCAGCCAGAACTTCCAACACTATGTTGAATAGGAGTGGTGAGAGAGGGCATCCCTGTCTTGTGCCAGTTTGCAAAGGGAATGCTTCCAGTTTTTGCCCATTCAGTATGATATTGGCTGTGGGTTTGTTATAAATAGCTCTTATTATTTTGAGATATGTCCCATCAATACCTAATTTATTGAGAATTTTTAGCATGAAGGGCTGTTGAATTTTGTCGAAGGCGTTTTCTGCATCTATTGAGATAATCATGTGGTTTTTGTCTTTGGTTCTGTTTATATGCTGGATTATATTTATTGATTTGAGTGTGTTGAAGCAGCCTTGCATTCCAGGGATGAAGCCCACTTGATCATGGTGGATAAGCTTTTTGATGTGCTGCTGGATTTGGTTTGCCAGTATATTATTGAGGATTTTTGCATTGATGTTCATCAGGGATATTGGTCTAAAATTGTCTTTTTTTGTGTTGTGTCTCTGCCAGGCTTTGGTATCGGGATGATGCTGGCCTTATAAAATGAGTTAGGGAGGATTCCCTCTTTTTCTATTGATTGGAATAGTTTCAGAAGGAATGGTACCAGCTCCTCCTTGTACCTCTGGTAGAATTCGACTGTGAAGCCGCCTGGTCCTGGACTTTTTTTGGTTGGTAGAATATTAATTATTGCCTCAATTTCAGAGCCTGTTGTTGGTCTATTCACAATATTTCATTAAAAATTAAGCTTTTACTTATTTTTCTTTAGTCCTTGAAAAGTTGCTAATCAGAATGGTCTTACACTTTAAATTTATTTCTTCATAAATGGCTATTCCCACTCGTCTCTTATAACCCCCTTTTCAACCATCACCCCAATATTTTCTGCCAGCTACTTCATCAATTTATTTTCTAAGATTGATGTCAGTCACTCATTAGTATGCCAAAAAGAGATTTGATTCATCTAACTATTTATCCACTATTTTTTTTGACAGTTTTCATCAACTTCAGCTATATTTACTGTAAGATCCCTAATGACGAAACGTTCATCTATCATATCACCAGAGTATCACAACCACAATTTGCTACCACAGACTCTGACACAGAGTAAATTCCCAAAGAATATTCTTACATAAATAAACTCATGAATGCATAATCATGCATACATCCATTAACTACAGCCATTATCATCCTTTTTCTTTATTCTTGATGTCAACATCATTAACACTATTATTATAACTCTTTAGTTTAATAAGCTGAAAAAATATACGATTCATGCTACTGCAGTGAAAAACTTTACTGCCATCTCAGAAGATGCAAGACGTAGACATACACATTATTGAACAATGTAAATGGAATAGCCTCAGTCTTATACGAAAGTTAACCAAAGCATCAATTTAATTTTAAAAGCTCATGTAGGTTTGTGCATACATAACCATATAGTGAATTTTTTGAAACTAATGTAATTTATAATGCTTTACCTTTTATGTTTGTAAGAGAATGTTGGTGCAATGCTATAAATTAAGATTAAAAAATCCTTTAAAATAAATACATTGGACTTATGTTTCTGATAATATGACAGAGAAAGTACATGAGAAATCATTACTCCTCAAAACAACTAAAATCTTGGACAACAGATAAACAATTTTGTTTACAAATGGGTGGTATGACCAAAAATTAAGAAATTATCCTCTTCCCCTCCCCACAAAACAAACTATAAAATAAATCCAAAGAGGTAAGGAAATATTAAAACTAGTGCCTCTCATGGTAATATTTACTGATCTCTTGTGACCAAAGGCTTTGATTTCTATACCCATGTCAAAGACAAGAGAGCCTTGTCTGTGGTATGATCACATAACCATATAAGATGAGATATTAAGTTTGTAAACACAAGCCTCTGTATTAAGCTACAGCCATCAGTCTAAAACTTCCATGAAACAGTATGCTAGGTGAAAACAAACATACCTTATGAGAGAGAAGACTTCTTTTTTTTCTTAATCACTAGTAACTGCTGACTTCTGCTGTTCTACTTACCATTTATTTCTTATCTCTCTGACCTCTTAATTTTGTAGTGTGACAATGTCCAGGATTTTGAAATCTTTATTTTATATTAGTATTAATTCTCTTATAGTACCACCCTGTCTTATACACTAAATTACATATCATATACATATGATATTAAAATTGACTTTCAAAACTCTCATATTGTGTTTTGTTTGAGCTCCATGTGCATTGCTAATTTTTGGATATTTTTCAAATTAAAAATATTAGATTTTTTAAATTTTGCCTATCTTTTCATAATGCTGTGTGATGGTTAATACTGAGTGTCAAACCGATTGGATTGAAGGTTGCAAAGTATTGTTCCTGGGTATGTTTGTGAAGGTGTTGCCAAGATTAACGTTTGAGTCAGTGGACTGGGAAAGACAGATCCACCCTTAATCTGGGTCAGCACAATCTAATCATATGCCAGTGCAGGTGGAATAAAAAGCAGACTGAAGAATGGGAAAAGACTAGACTAGCTTAGCCTTCCAGCCTACATCTTCCTCCTGTGCTGAATGCTTCTTGCCCTCAAACATCAGACTCCAAGCTCTTCAGCTTTGGGACTTGGGCTGACTTTCTTGTTCCTCAGCTTGCAGATGGCTTATTGTTGGATCTTGTGATCCTGTGAGTTAATATTCCTTAATAAACTCATATATATATATATCATAATAATATACTCATTTATATTAATATATAACATATTAATAAACTCATATATATGTCCTATTAGTTCTGTCCCTCTAGAGAATCCTAATACTGATTTTAATACAAAGAGTGTTTCTAGAGGAACAGAATATTAAGGATGGAGTCCTTTTGTTGGTTTGGGGGTTTCTGAAGTTGGCTGCTTAATGTGATTAGACCCTAAAATGCTAAGGACTCTACATCTAACAATATGGAGAACACTGAGAGTCTTTGGCATGAACTGTTTGGAGAGTTATGCAAAATAAATGCATTGGACACTCTTGATTCACCCCTTGTGAGAGGCAAGGAGTTTAGTGACTCTATACATAATACCTTTGACCATATGTGGAGAACCAAGAAACATAATGAAGTTGGTTGGTTGCTCCTAAGTTCGCTGGACAAAGTGTTGAAAGAAAATGAACTTAGGATTCTAACTCCCAGCTTCAGAAGCAGATACTGAGCCTCAGATCTGCTAATATTGCCATGAGTGAGTCTTATCTCTTGTAGAAAAAGAGCTGAAAGTGTGGATAATCAGACACAGGCTCTTATCATGTGAGTGGCTGACCTGCAATGAAAGGTGCATACAGAGCCTCAGCAGGTGTCTACTGTTAATGTGAAGGCATTGATTGGAAAAGAATGGGAGCCTGCAACTTGGAATGGGGATGTGTGGGAGGACCCTGATGAAGCTGGGGACACTGAGCTTGTAGATTCTGAAGAAACTTTTTTCCTTTTTTCCTTTATCATGTGACATAAGATTAATTGACTTCATATCAGAATTTAAGTGTTGGTTTTAGCATTTGAGTTGGGGATTGGCGTGTTTCCCATTGTAGGATGAATAGTTGTATTATATTAGGCATAATTATGACCTTATTATTGTCTTTATTTCAAGATTATGTATAATCTCAGTAGATGTTTAATTTGATAAGGGGTAGACTTGTGATGGTTGATATTGAGTTTCAACTTGGTTGGATTGAAGAATGCAAAGTATTGATCCTCGGTTTGTGATCCTGGATGTATCTGTGAGGGTGCCCATGGTAACTACACTTCTAATCTCTGTAAGTATGTGAGGTGATAAATATGTTAATTAACTTGATTTTGCTATTTCAGAATGTACAGATATATCCAAACATGATGTTTTATACTTTAAAGGTATATATAATTTTATTTGCCAACTACACCTCTATAAATCTTTTCTATATTCTAAATATAAGTAGGATTATGCAGAATTTGTCTTTCTGTATCTGGCTTATTTCACTTAGCATGGTACACTTCAGATTCATCCATGTTGGCCCAAATGATGGATATCCTTCTTTTTGAAGCCTAGGTAATATTCGTGTGTGTGTGTGTGTGTGTGTGTGTGTGTGTGTGAGCATGCGTATGCATATATTCACATTTTCTTTATTCATTGGTCCATGGATGGACACTTAGGTTGTTTCCATATTTGATGATTGTTACTAATGTAGCAATGAACATTGGAGTACAGATATCTCTTGAACATACTAATTTCATTTCCTTTAGATATATACCGAAAAGTGGAGATTCTGGATCATATGACAGTTCTAACTTTTTAGTTTTAGAAAATCTTCCATATTGTTTTCCCTAAGGACTGCGTCAATCTACTTTTCCACCAATAATGTACAAGAGTTTCCTTTTCTCCACATCTCCACGAGATCTACTTTGACTTTTGGATATAGCCTTGCTAACAAGTGTGAGGTGATGTCTTATTGTGCTTTTGATTTATATTTATCTGATGGTTAGACAAATTAGATATAGAAAGAATATAATAACATGACAAAGGCAATATCTGGTAAGGAAACATCTAACATCATACTCACTAGCAAAAAGTTGAAAGCTTTTTTTCTCTAAGACCAAGGACAAGAATGTCCACTCTCTTTACTTCTATTCAACATAGTATTGGAAGTCCTCGACAGAACAATTAGGCAAGAAGAAGTAATAAAATAATTGAAAGCAATAAAAATAACAAAGGAAGACGTTTTGCTTCTGTGTCCATATGACAAAATCTTACAAATAGAAAACCTAAAAGACTAAACCTAACAGCTATTAGAACTAATAAATGAATTATTAATGTTCCAGAATATAAAGTCAACATACAAAAAATCAGTGGTGTTTCTATACATAACAACAAATTGTCAAAAAAATTGAAAAAACAAGCCCATTTACAATATCATCAAAAAGAATAAAATATGAATAAAATTTTTATTTTCATTATTTTTATTGTTGTGTTGTTATTTATTATTTTTTTAATTTTTGATCAACTGTGGTTGAATCCACAGGTGCAGAATCCATGGTAATGAAAGGTTGACTGTACTTAAGAATTAATTTTATTCTCTTTGAAGCAATTGTGAATGGGAGTTCACTCATGATTTGGCTCTCTGTCTGTTGTTGGTGTATAAGAATGCTTGTGATTTTTGTACATTGATTTTGTATCCTGAGACTTTGCTGAAGTTGCTTATCAGCTTAAGGAGATTTTGGGCTGAGACAATGGGGTTTTCTAGATATACAATCATGTCATCTGCAAACAGGGACAATTTGACTTCCTCTTTTCCTAACTGAATACCCTTTATTTCCTTCTCCTGCCTAATTGCCCTGGCCAGAACTTCCAACACTATGTTGAATAGGAGTGGTGAGAGAGGGCATCCCTGTCTTGTGCCAGTTTTCAAAGGGAATGCTTCCAGTTTTTGCCCATTCAGTATGATATTGGCTGTGGGTTTGTCATAGATAGCTCTTATTATTTTGAGATACGTCCCATCAATACCTAATTTATTGAGAGTTTTTAGCATGAAGCGTTGTTGAATTTTGTCAAAGGCTTTTTCTGCATCTATTGAGATAATCATGTGGTTTTTGTCTTTGGTTCTAACTTACAAGGGATGTGAAGGACCTCTTCAAGGAGAACTACAAACCACTGCTCAAGGAAATAAAAGAGGATACAAACAAATGGAAGAACATTCCATGCTCATGGGTAGGAAGAATTAATATTGTGAAAATGGCCATACTGCCCAAGGTAACTTACAGATTCAATGCCATCTCCATCAAGCTACCAATGACTTTCTTCACAGAATTGGAAAAAACTACTTTAAAGTTCATATGGAACCAAAAAAGAGCCCGCATCGCCAAGTCAATCCTAAGCCAAAAGAACAAAGCTGGAGGCATCACACTACCTGACTTCAAACTTTACTACAAGGCTACAGTAACCAAAACAGCATGGTACTGGTACCAAAACAGAGATATAGATCAATGGAACAGAACAGAGCCCTCAGAAATAACACCACATACCTACAACTGTCTGATCTTTGACAAACCTGAGAAAAACAAGAAATGGGGAAAGGATTCCCTATTTAATAAATGGTGCTGGGAAAACTGGCTAGCCATATGTAGAAAGCTGAAACTGGATCCCTTCCTTACACCTTATACAAAAATCAATTCAAGATGGATTAAAGATTTAAACGTTAGACCTAAAACCATAAAAACCCTAGAAGAAAACCTAGGCATTACCATTCAGGACATAGGCATGGGCAAGGACTTCATGTCCAAAACACCAAAAGCAATGGCAACAAAAGACAAAATTGACAAATGGGATCTAATTAAACTAAAGAGCTTCTGCACAGCAAAAGAAACTACCATCAGAGTGAACAGGCAACCTACAAAATGGGAGAAAATTTTCGCAACCTACTCATCTGACAAAGGGCTAATATCCAGAATCTACAATGAACTCAAACAAATTTACAAGAAAAAAACAAACAACCCCATCAAAAAGTGGGCGAAGGACATGAACAGACACTTCTCAAAAGAAGACATTTATGCAGCCAAAAAACACATGAAAAAATGCTCATCATCACTGGCCATCAGAGAAATGCAAATCAAAACCACAATGAGATACCATCTCACACCAGTTAGAATCGCAATCATTAAAAAGTCAGGAAACAACAGGTGCTGGAGAGGATGTGGAGAAATAGGAACACTTTTACATTGTTGGTGGGACTGTAAACTAGTTCAACCATTGTGGAAGTCAGTGTGGCGATTCCTCAGGGATCTAGAACTAGAAATACCATTTGACCCAGCCATCCCATTACTGGGTATATACCCAAATGACTATAAATCATGCTGCTATAAAGACACATGCACAGGTATGTTTATTGCGGCATTATTCACAATAGCAAAGACTTGGAACCAACCCAAATGTCCAACAATGATAGACTGGATTAAGAAAATGTGGCACATATACACCATGGAATACTATGCAGCCATAAAAAATGATGAGTTCATGTCCTTTGTAGGGACATGGATGAAATTGGAAACCATCATTCTCAGTAAACTATCGCAAGAACAAAAAACCAAACACCGCATATTCTCACTCATAGGTGGGAATTGAACAATGAGATCACATGGACACAGGAAGGGGAATATCACACTCTGGGGACTGTGGTGGGGTGGGGGGAGGGGGGAGGGATAGCATTGGGAGATATACCTAATGCTAGATGACGAGTTAGTGGGTGCAGCGCACCAGCATGGCACATGTATACATATGTAACTAACCTGCACAGTGTGCACATGTACCCTAAAACCTAAAGTATAATAAAAAAAGAAAAAAAAAAAAAGAATTAATTTAAGCAAGATGAAAAATCTGTACACTGAAAACTATAAGAAAGTGAATAAGATATAAATAAATAGAAAGATATTTCATGCTCACGGATTTTAAGAGTCAATATTGTCTAAATGTTCATACTACCATAACAATTTGTAGATTCAGTGCAATACATATCAACTGTTCATTGGCATTTTTCAGAGTAATTAAAAAATCCTAAAATTCATATGAAACCACAAAAGACACCAAATAATTAAATCAATGTTGAGCAAGATAAACAAAGCTGGAGCCATCACAGTTCTTGATTTCAAATTATATTACAAAACTATAGGAATCCAAAGAGTATGGTGCTGGCATAAAAACAGACACATAGACAATAAAATAGAATTAAAAGTCCAGAAATAAACCTAGGCATATATAGTCAATAGATATTTAAGAAGAGTGCCAAGAATACTCATTAAGGAAAGGATAGTCTTTTTAATAAATGGTGTTGGGACAACTGGTCATCCACCTCCAAAGATATAAGAGTATATCCTTATCATACAACATACATAAAAATCAGCTCAAAATATATTAAAGACTTAAACAAAAAAACCTGAAACTGTAAAATTCCTAGAATAAAATATAGGAAAAAATCTACAAGACATTGGTCTTGACAAGGAGATTTTAGATATGACACCAAAAACACAGGCAATACAAACAAAAATAAAAGGGTAGAACTACAACAAACTACACAGCTTCTGCACAGCTCAACAAAATGAAAAGGTAACCTACAGAATGTGAGAAAATATTAACCATATGTGTGATAAGAGGCAAACATTCAAAATATATAAGAAACTTGTATAACTCAATAGTAAAACAACAAATAACCTAATTAAAAAATGAAAAAAAACACCTGAAAATACATTTTTTCCTAAGAAGACATACAAATGGCCAAAACACACATGAAAAAGTATACAAAGCCTATTTCTAAGTTTCAGCTTAGGAACCTCAAAACACAAAACAAATACATTATTCTGCTTCTTCTATACAATGCTAAAAGTCTGAAAACCCCGCAGGACTTTCCGTTAAAAGTAGGCAGATAGCCTGCAATGAGCAGGAATCCTTGGAGAGGCTACCCACTCACAATCAGCAAAATACAATGGCTTATGTCCTCACTTCTCCTCGTGGATTGGGCTCATCTGGCCCTAGCCTGAGAAAACTGTAGTAGTGACTCTTCATCCTGACAAGCATGCACATTCTTCCAAAAACTCACTCACTCTAGAGTAGCCTTTTACTCATTATAATAGTACAAAACATAGCCCTGGGTGAAAATTTTAAATGCTAATGAGACATGCAATATGTGTACCAGCATACACAACCACAGCACATGTGTGCCCGAGGGACCACTGGAAACATGCTTGCAAGCAACACCCCCTCACACGCTTTCATGAATAATCATGTAAGATTCTCATAAAGAGGGTTTGCCCAGGACTAGTTGGGGCTGGCTCATTCTCTCAAGCAGCATGCTCTGCCTTGACTTTCAGAGCATACTGTCACTTTAAATAATCTTTGCTGCTTTTTAACCCTTGCCGTGCATCTTGGTTGAATATATTCCTCCAAGATGAGAACCCAGGACCCGGTACTCCTCCTGTTAACATTTCTAGGTCTTGTTGACCGAGGTTAATCTGCTCCCTAATCTTTTCATTTTCTCCTGAGATACTGGATCTTGGAAATGCAGAACTGATTCAACCATTTTATTGTTCTTTGTGCAGTTTATCAGTTTTCTGAGGCAAAACACACAGAAAGGCCTATATAGAGATTAAATTAAAAAGGATTTAAATGGCCAACATTTTGCATATTTCCAAGCACTTGTTAAATCTAATGCTTTCAAATGTAGTAAGGTTGGCAAATTGTTGCTCTCTACATTAAGATTTAGAAACGAATTGAAACAAAATCTATATTCCATGGAAAGCAAGCAACAATAAATACACCCATCATTTTACATTTTTCACAAGATGATTCATCTATATCTTGATGTAGAGAGAAACAATTTGCTAACCTTACTATATTTGAAAAACATTAGGTTTAATAAGTGCTTGGAAATATGCAAAATTTTAGCCATTTTTCTCAACTAAGAATTTGAAAGATATTCCGATTTATATCTAGTGTTTTAAGTGGAATTGTATGCAAAAATGAACAAACACAGACTGCTTATTTCTCCAACATGTAATTGCCTCTAAAATAATAGTTTTACTTTCTCTTGATAACTAACTGATAGGTTGAATACAATGTTTTATCTTCTGTTTGGAAAAGAATGGGTCAACAAATTAGCCACAGATAATTTACTTCATAAGAATTGATAGTTTTCCTTGTGGTGGTAATTCCCAAATGAGCAACTGTAGGTGTAAGTGTTTTATCACATTTTATTTCCAATTTTTTTCACTGACAATTAGATGTATACAACAAGAATGTGAACTAAGAATAAATTTTTAGGGAGAGGAACATCACATACCAGGGCCTGTCATGAGGTGGAGGACTAGGGGATGGACAGCATTTGGAGAAATACCTAATGTAGATGACGGGTTGATGGGTGCAGCAAACCACCATGGCACGTGTATACCTGTGTAACAAACCTGCACATTCTGCACATGTATCCCAGAACTTAAAGTATAATAAAAAATATCTGTTTTCAAGATGTATAGTTTTTATTCTTAGTATGCTTCATGAGATATAATTTATTTTACATGTTAGGCATATACTATTATATACTGAAATTATTATAATTACTAAATATTAATAATAAACAAAATTGTGGCAAACATTTTCCAAGTATCAGAACAGATAAAATAACCATAGGGAAAGTAATGAACTGCAGAATAAATGCAGAGAGTTATAAAATCACCTAAAATACAGAAATTATAATTGAATCTGATGAGCATGGCTTCATTATTTGTATTTTTCTCATTATTCTTATGTCATATCAAATTTTCTGAACTCAGGACCAGTTAAAGGAAATTTGGCTACACCATGCAAATCTCTACCTTATTTAAAACAATAGTTCCAGAATTCTATAATTATTGGAATGATGAATGTAAGGCTAATTTATGTTTAATTTTCTTCTTTTATATTTCCTTTAAACAAATTGATTGACTTAAATTTGCCTTCATTATTTTCCAAGATTCTTAACAGGCACTGAATAACTGAATGCATGTCAAAAAAAGTAATAAGTTGAGAATTTCAATTATTTGTAGTTTCACTATTTTTAAACTGTTATTTCTAATGAAAAAATCAGGCAAATTATTTTTTATCTCTAATATATATCTAAATCATGAATAGAGAATGTTATTTTTACAATGTGTAAAATGCAGGTTTAATTTTAAGTGGACTAATTAGAAAATATTAATATTAATATAATATTTATTTTCATTAATTTATTTATATTAATTATATTAAATGTATACAATTACTTAATTACATTATATATATAAATTGATGAAATTATTTTCTAGGAACATGAACTATGTTCATGTATCACATTTTTAGGCTTGGTTCAAATAATAATAAATTCAGAAGTTATTCTAAAATAAACAAGTTATGTATTTGCAAACTAAGTTTCTGACAAATGCCTAAAATCCAGAATCTATAGGTAACTTACACAAATCAAAAAGCAAAAATCAAATAACTCCATTACAAAATGGACAATGGACAAGAACAGATACTTCTCAAAGAAAGACATACATGTGGCCAATAATCATCAGAGAAATGCCAATCAAAACCACAATGAAATGCTTTCTCACACCAGTCAGAATGGTAATTATTAAAATAAATAAATAAATAAAAGATGCCAGCAAGGCTGCAGAAAGAAGGGAACATTTATACACTGTTGGTGGGAATGTAAATTAGCCCAGCCACTTTGGAAAATAGTCTGGAGATTTCTCAAAGAACTTAAAATGGAGCTACCATTTGGCTCAGCAATCCCATTACTGTCTATATACCTAAAGAAAAGTAAATTATTCTAGCAAACAAAAACAGAAAAAACACATTCACCAATATGTCCATTGCAGCACTATTCACAATAGCAACAACATGATATCAGCCTAGGTGTCCATCAATGGTAGATTGGATAAAGAAAATTTTGTACACATACACCATGGCATAGTATACAGCCATAAAAAAATCATGTCCTTTGCAGCAATGTGGATGAAGCTGGAGGCCATAATTCTAAGCAAATTAATGCAGGAACAGAAAAGACAATACTGCATGTTCTACTTTATGAGTGAGAGCTAAACATTGAGCACACATGGACATAAATATGGAAAAAATGGACACTGTGGACTACTAGATGGGGGAGGGAGGGGTCTGGGTTGAAAATCTATCTACTGGATACTATGCTCACTAACTGGGTGACAGGATCTGTACTCCAATTCTCAGCATCACACAATATTCTCATGTAACAAATCTGCATATGTACCCCCTGCATCTAAAATAAAAGTTGAAATTATAAAAAATAAATTTAAAAGAACCATGTGTCTTCTTCAAAGTGTTTCTGGTTGAACACCACATATATTTATAAGATTTGTGTCAGCAAATGACACCTGCTAACAAATTCTGGAAAGTGGTCCTACTCCACTAGGAGCAGCAGTTGCAAGATGTCAGCACACTTCATAGTTCAGAGTCCCAAGAAGAATCATATTCACACAGGCGATGGATGGAATAATGCTTCATTGGTATAGAGAAGAGACACAGCAAGATCAGCTTCAGTAGTGGATGTTGGTTCCCATGACCAATGACTATCATAAACAGCCAATGAAGTCTTTTTTGTGGTGTGTATGAAAGAAGTATGAAAGAAGGACCTCAACCTTTTCAGAGTCAGGTCTGAAATACAGAGCTGGAAGTATACCTGAGAACCCTAGGGTGCTTCAGCAGAACAAAGAAGTACACATCAAGCCCTGAATAGAGAAAAGATATGCTCAAACAAGTTTATATACCCAACACAGGCTCTGAGGGCTCTTTATGTCTTTGCAGGGAAATGTTCCAAGCCCAAGGCCACTCTTATGTGGCCATACAGTGGTCAAAAGACTATCTTGTATTGTTCAACATCCTATTAATGTAGTTTGATGAAATCTATATTTTAATATATTGATGTGTTTTATTGTTTCAATACAGTTTGTAAGGTCAGGTATAGACATTTACAATCCCAAATGTTTGTGAAGTATAGCTTTTACTCTTAGGATCATGTATTGGGTATGAACATTAGAATATAATGTTCATACATATATATATATATATATATACACACACACACACACACACACACACATACATTCTATTTTAATTGCTAGCTTTGTCTTCTTCATCTTACAATGTGATGTGGTTAAGTGGAGGGAACCTCAATGTAAGATAAGTTAGTATTACTTAATTCTATGTGTGTATGCCTTCTGAGATCATATAAAAACAACATATATGTTCAGGACTACCTGAATTAGGTATATAACTTAACTTACAAGTATTTCTCTTCATAATCACTATATATGAGAGTAAAAAATAAAATAAAATAGAAAAAAGCTATGTTCAGCTACTTTTTTCTTCACTCAGTCATACAATACATGTGTAAGTACTAGTGATAAACTGTTTACTCTTCTTCAAATTCCACATTTTTCCATCAGTTATTTTCCCTCTGTTCATCTGGTCCTGTGTTGTTTTCATTCAATGATGCTAATAGAGTCACAGTGCGAGCTGTGTTTTACTTATCTAATTCTAGGACATTTCAAAACTACCAGAAGTCTGGTGGAACTTAAAATTTAAACAAGTACTACAAAACCTCCTTTCTTATCTAAAAAGTCAACCTCTTTATTTTATTTTGATTACTTTAATTGGGAAGGTAAGTGAATGTATATTTTGAATGTTTTGACATTGCTAGGAAGCTAACTCCAGGTCATAACAATAAACAATAAAAATAAAAGCACTTTTGGATAAACGTAGAAATAGTTCAGTTTCAGTTGCAGATAGATAAATAGCATAAACTAAAAAATTGGTGGCATTTGTGGATCTCTATAGTTCTCAGTCAAGATATTCCTTTAATTTTAAAAAATTCTGCATTATATTATTCCTACCCCTTGAAAGTATAACTTCAACAGGAAGTATATTAATAACTTTAAACAATATATTCTATGATGCAGATTTAGCTTCTTTTGTATATAATATGACTTTTCCAGTCTAATTCTAAATTACAAAAACAGCCACAGATAATTTAAGACCAGAATTAGAATGCTACAATAATAATAGGTCTATTAAAGGTAATGATAGTAAATAACAAAAATATTTTGGGTTGTTTTATATGTAGGTAAAGCAAAATACCAAGAATGTTATGTTTTCCACAAAAGATATTATTCTTCCAAATTTACATGATACTATAGTTTGATAAAGGAAAAGTTATCTGTTAACAGTTTCACGGCATATAAGATAAAGGGTTGGGATAAAATCACATCCGTCAGATTACAGACCCAAGTTCTATTATACAATGAAGTTATCTTAATTATAAAATATTTTCTTTCTCAATCATTTGCTTCATGTTTCCACATAAACAATACATTATAAAATGAATCACTCCTGTATTAGTCTATTCCATAATACATTATACAATTAGTCTATTCTCACATTGCCATAAAGAATTACCTGAGACTGGGTGGTTTATCAATAAAAGAGGTTTAATTGGCTCACCGTTCTGCAGACTGTACAGGAAGCATGGCTGGGGAGGCCTCAGGAAACTTAGAATCATGGCAGACAGCAAAGAGGAAGCCAGCCTGCCCTACATGCCTGGAGTAGGAGAGGGAGGGAGTGAACGGGGAGATGCTACACACTTTCAAACAACCAAATCTCCTGAGAACTCTATCAAGAGAACAACAAAAAGGAAGTCTGCCCCCATGATTCAATCACCTCTCACCAGGCCTCTCCTCCAACACTGGGAATTACAATTCAACATAAGATTTAGATGAGGACACAGAGACAAACCATATCATTCTACCCCTGGTCCCTTCCAAATTACATCTCCTTCTCACATTTCAAAGCACAATCATGCCTTCCCAACAGTCCTCCAAAGTCTTAACTCATTTCAGCATTAACTCAAAAGATCAAGTCCAAAGTCTCATCTAAGACCAGGCAAGTCCCTTCTACTTATGAGCCTGTGAGATCAAAAATTAGTTAGTTACCTGCAAGATACAATGGGGGTACAGGTATTGGCTAAATGCTCCCATTCCAAAAGGAAAAAATTGGTCAAATAAAGGGGATACAGGCCCCGTGCAAGTCTAAAACCCAGGAAGTCAGTAATTGAATCTTAAGGCTCCAACATCCTCTCTTTGGACTCCATGTCTTACATTCAGACCACACTTACAGAAGGAGTGGGCAGCCCTGTCCCTGTGGCTCTGCTGGTCTCAGTTCCCATGGCTGTTCTCAAGGACTGACGTTGAGTGCCTGTGGCTTTTGGCAAGCTGTTGGTGGATCTACCACTCTGGGGTCTGGAGGACGGTGGCCCCCTTCTCACAGTGTCACTAGGCACTAACCCAGTTGGGATTCTGTGTGGGGCATCCAATCCCACATTTCCCCTCAGCACTGCCCTAGTAGAGGTTCTCCATGAGGGTTCTGCCCCTGCAGCAAACTTCTTCCTGGATGTCCAAGTGTTTCCATGCATTCTCTGAAATCTCGGCAGAAGCTCCCAAATCAAATCTTGTGATAACTCTAGGATAAGAACACCAAGGAGGAAGTTTGACCCTATGATTAAATCACTTCCCACCAGGCAAGAACAAAATATTTACTGTATCTTAATACAAATGCTATTTTTAAAAATATTTTCTCTTCTTATTCTTCCTAAGAATTATAAATGTTGAAAGAAATAATTGATTAATGTACATTACTTGTGAAAATATCTGAAAATAAATTTTAAACTTGCTTTTTATTTAAAGCCAAAAATACAGAGACATTGTCACCAATGTCTCTATGATGTCTTATGATCTGTCAACTGCATCTTTATTATTATTTCTTATTAAATGTGTATTTAATGTTAGGCACATTGTATGCTTTGTGTATAAATCTATGCTTTAATTCACATTTGAAATATACTCAAGAAGTCAAGTTCTAGTTCAACTAAATATCATTTAAAATATAACTTTTGGACATATTATATAGTCTGTATTTTAGGCATAAATTCAGGAGTACAAACAACGATACTGAAGCATACTGATTACCTGCATCTTGTTTATGTATGCATAGTTCAATAAAAACATTTAAAAATGTAAAAATAATAAAACTTAAAGTTAAATATCAAAAGTACTTCTGTGCTGATGTCTTTCAGTGAACTGATACTTGTTAAAAGTAAATGGCATAAATTCCCTAGGTGAGATTTATCATAAGGAAAAAAACATATTCTAATATTTGATTCATCTAAATCATGTGGATGCAAATATTAAACTCAGATTAATATTTGACTTTTGTTGAATGAAAATAGTATAGAAAAATAGGTGACAGTGTAGCAGTTAAAATCTATTTAAATCATGCTTTCATTTAGATGGATACAGAGAAGAGAAATATTTTCACACATCAACAAATGTACCAGATTGATTTATTTTTCTCCCCACCAGTATGAGTGTGTTTTATGTGTAAAAAAGTTTGTCTTTGTTGTTTATGAGATGGTCTCATTTTCTAGAAGTGAAGGTAAAACTAATATTCCCCAGATTGACAAAGGGAGTAATTTTGTTAGTTATTTTGCTTATTGACTTCAAAGTTTACTTACAAGATGCAGGAAATCAGTATGCCTCAGTATCATCGTTTGTACTCCTGAATTTACGCCTAAAATACAGACTATATAATATGTGCAAAAGTTATATTTTAAATGATATTTAGTTGAACTAGAACCAGACTTCTAGAGTACATTTCAAATGTGCATTAAAGCATATATTTATACACAAAGCATACAATTTGTTCTCAAATTTGTAGTGTTCTCAAAGTTATAGTAGACAACTTTAGTTCTCAAAGTTAGTACTAAACTAACAAACAAAGCTAGTGTTCTCAAAGTTATAGTAAACATTTGCATCTTTGTTCATTCATCTAAAGTTAAAATATAACTTTGAATTCTTCTTGAGATTTATTATTTAGCTCTATTTCTCAAAAACACAAAATATGTTTCATTCAACACTTCCAAAATCTTAAATACCTTTTATATTAGTTCTCCCTGTTCTGAAACCATCTGGAGAAAACAACATTACATATATTCAGCCTATGGTGTGCATGTATCTATAGGTATGAATGCAGATGTACTCGCATATATATATTCATATATACATACATACATACACCCAGATACATGCAAGGGTACTTCAAAAAGTTTGTTAAAAAATGGAATAAAATGACAAAAATTTAAAAATAGAAACTTTATTGCTCAATATAAACTGCATCCAGTTCAAAACACTTTTGTAACCAATGAAACCAGTCATTTTCATCAATTGCTAAAGAACTGAGGATACTGGGAATTTAATCATGTCAATTCAGTAATTTTTACATTATTAACTAAAAAATGGATGCCCATTAAAGATTTTTAAGATTGGGAAATAAAAAGAATTAAGAGACAAATCTGGACTGTAAGGTGGATGCCTAATGATTTTCCATTGAAACACTTACAAAATTGCCCTTCTGTGATGAGAGGAAAGAGCAGGATCTTTGTTGTGGTAAAGTACGACTCTTAGATGAAGCTTTCCTGGAAGTTTTTCTGCTAAAGCTTTGGCTAACTTTCTCAACATACTCTCATAATAAGTAGATATCATTGTTGTTTGGCCCTTCACAAAGTCAACAAGCAAAACCTCTACACATTTCAAAAAGCTGCTGCCATGACCTTTGCTCTTGACTTCTCTACTTTTGCTTGACTGGACCACATTCACCTTTTGGTAGCCATCACTTTGTCTTCAGGATTCTATTGGCAAAGCCATGTTTCACCTTCTGTTACAATTCTTCAAAACAATGCCTCAGGATCTTGGTCTCCCTTATTAAAACTTTCCATATGAAGCTGGGCTCTTGACTGCAGCTGATCTGGGCACAACGGTTTGGGCACCCATTGAATTAAAAGTGTGCTCAACTTTAATTTTTCAGTCAGGATTCTGTAAGCTGGGCCAGTTGAAGTACCTATGGTGTTGTCTATTGTTTCTGCTATTAATCATTGATTCCCTTCAGTTAGGGCACAAACAGGATGATTTTTTTTTTCTTCCAAATTGATGTGGTTGTCTGTCGCTGCAAGCTAGATCTTCAACATCATCTCATCATTTATTAAAACAAGTTATCCATTTGCAAATGGCTGATTTCTTTGGGGACTTGTCCCCATAAACTTTTTGTAAAGCATCAGTGATTTCATCATTTATCCACCCAAGCTTCACCATAATTTTGATGTGTGTTCTCTCTTTCATTTTAGCAGAATTTATGTTGCTCTGAAAGAAGCACTTTTCAAACTAATGTCTTTTACCTCTTAGTGCCTCAAAATAGATCCTGTTCAGACATGTTATAGCAAGTTGTAATGAGTTTTTTTGAGAAAATGTTTTTTAGATCTAGGTATAGATGTTTTCATTTTTCATAGTATGAACTTTCCATGAACTTTTTGAGGACTTTTCTTCAAAATTAAATGTTATTTAATAAAAAATAAATTTGATAATTACAATTCATGGTTGTTTGATTTTCAATAAGATATAATAGTGTGTAGACACTAGATTTAGGATTGTCACTGTCTTATTTACACCAGAAGGAAGACTGCTGGTTCTGGTACTAAGAACTACAGTGGATACAGGTGAGGGAAATTACAACGAAATCAACAGTGGAAAAGATCAGAAAGATGCAAGAATATAGTTATCCCATTCATTTAGCTAGATAGTTTTTACTTAAAAAAAGATTCCATCGATTTCCCATTAGCAAATATTTTATGATTAAGGCTTGTAGTTTATTAGCCAAACTAATATAAATAAATTTAGCAAAATAAAGCACTATTCAAGTTGTAATCACCATGCTCTGTCTCTTCTCAATAGAGACTGCAAATTTTGGAATAGATTGAATGACACACATAATTAGAGAAAGTGGATCTTCAACAGCATTTTAGCTAACACTTGATATTACTATAGTTTTCTCTCTTTTAATCTTAGTAAGAAGCAATGATTAAAAATAATAAGATGGACTCTTCCACCTCCAGGAATCTGGAATAGACCTTACTTTCCTTATTTGGGGGTCTAAGTATAGCCATCCTTACTGTTATATGTAAAACAAACCTAATAATATTTTGAGGGGTGGAGACAAGGAGTCAGACTGGGTAGACCCTTCTAGACAAAAAGAGTGATAGGGCACTAAGTTTTGTCAAATTTATTTATGCCGTATGTATCCCAGATTTGCAGCTGAAGAAACCAGCAACCTGAAAATAGCAATCGGCAGAAATAAATAACAATAACAGAAATATTGCTCTTTTTAGTCTAAAAACCGGGAAAGATAGTCTATATATGTCTATCATAACAAAAAATATTTGGAAAATAACTACAATATTTAGAAAGTAACTGCTTTACTGCAAACACAACAGAAAAACTGTGGTCCCTACCCCTAGCCATACAGTAAAGGCAGAGTGAGGATCTTAGACTTCCACCTTATCTACCACCGTAACAAAATCTCTCCTCACACACTCAGCCTCCACTGCAGTGGTTTTACAGAAGGCCATGTAGGGAGTTAGAGTTTTTCATGTGCATGGAGATCACAATGGGAGCCTGCACTTCTTCCTTTTCACTGGATGGTGTCGCAAGTGGCCTAGGAAACAGTATGGACTTATACCACTGCCCACCAGTGATGGGGCTGCTATTTCAGGATAACAGTGGAGACCATGCGGAGTGACTAATGAGGTGATCCTATTCCTTGAAGCCAGAAAGGTTATCAGTGGAGGCCTAGTAGAAAGCTGCAAATCTTACCCTTGTTCAGCAGCAAAAGGCCACCCCATTTTAGGTATCAATGAAGTCCTTGTGGGGACCCTAGAATTCTATATCCAGCTGGAAAATATAAGGTGACATCCTCTGCTTCTCTTGCTAAAAATGTGTTAGAGAAACGAAGCTAAAACAGAAGATGTAAATAAAAACCAGAAACTCATAACATAATATCCTAAATGTACAGCTTTCAATTAAAAATCACTCCTCATGCCTGGAAACAGGAAGATCTCAAACTGATTGAAAACTATACACACATATTGTATCAATGTCAATTTCCTCCTTTTGACACTGTATCATAATCATCTAAGATGTAACCACTGAGAAAAACTGGTGACATGCATTGGTCCTCTCTAAACTATATTTGCAACTTTCTGTGAAGGCATAATTACTACAAAATAAAATATTTAAGGAAAAGATAGCACAGTAAATAGCAGGTGTAGTAATCTGCTGTTAACACAGTTATTTTCAGTAATCTGCTGTTAACACAGAGCCTTTTCTTTTATATGCTCAGAATGGAGGTTTCACAATATACAAAAGAATATGGTTTTTCTTTTTCTCTACTAGGAGGTGACTAAATGAAGATTCTGGGAAAAAAAATTACCAAATTAAAATTCTCACACTCCTGGGCCACCAATGTAATCAGTCAGTATTGCTGCTTGTCCCCTGACCTAAATCCTACAGGCACATGCTCAATTGCCTATTTTGTAGTACAATTGAAAAGTATAAGAGGCACATAAACATGACCAATATGGAATTATTTCTCTTCCTGGGAAATGTTGAATTGTTGCAAAATTGAATATATTTTAAAATCCTGTTTATAGAATACAAATAATTACAATTAATGTTTCACTATACAACTGCATACTTATTTTAGTTAGGTTGACAATTTATTTTACCTATCAATATAATATTAATTTTTCAAAAGTAGCCTGCACTGTAATAAATAACTTTCTGAATCACTCCATTTTATTATTTATATTTGGCTTACAGATTTCTCTGCTGCTGACAGTTCATTTCTCTAGGATCAACAGCTTGTAGACAAAAGGAACATTTTTCTTTCTGCACTAGCAGGTGCACAAGTAAGATGTCAAATTCAGTGAACATTTCTCTACCTTTAATATGCTTCTGAAAATTTGGGATGTTGAGTCATATAAATATTCCCTGAATTATTATTTTACTACCAATGTTATCTCTCAATTATATGCTTGGCCCATGAACTATATGAAATATAGAAACAGCTCATTTCTTAAACATTTCAGTTGGTACTTCTGTATGTAACCCAATAAAAAGGAAATTTTGTTAACCACAGTAGTGTTATCCCACCTAACATCATTAAAAGTGATTCCTTTATAGGTAATATCCAGTTAATATCTAAAGTTATCTAATTTTTCTAAGATGTATTTTGCTGTTGTTGACTTTACTGAAAAAGTAATTATGAGATAGTGTTTTAAATCATAAATTATTTTGGAAAATTATCCACTCTAGCTATGTCAGAACATCAGTGACTCTTTAACACTGGACACCTCTGAAATCTTTGTTCATTCCTCACCCAACAGTGGCTGTTCTTTGTTATTCTTCCTTGAGCCTGTCCTTGAACATGTGCAGTCTGTCCTGGGAGATGTGCAGTTGAGAACACCACTTGGAAGAACTTCTAAGCAGATTATTAGGGCTCTTTCTCTGCCATCCTCTCCTCTTTGGACCCTACACAACAAATTTCAGCAACCTTAGCAAAGAAGGCACTCTCCTTTTGAGCGATGCTTTTCTGCACAACAATTTGGAAACTACTTCTTTTGAGAAACCAAACCATGGAGGCTGGTCCAGAGTCAAAAATGATGGTTTAGACTCTTCAGGTTTGCTTATTCTTTGATTTGCTAAAAAATGTCTAGGTCTGAGGTCTTACACTGTTTACTGCGCTTCTAAGGAGGCAACGTCTCCTTACTTGTGCCTGCTTTGCCAGGCCTCAGAGTACTCCATTTATGTCAGTTTAGGGTATTTCTGTGGTCATATCTAGCCAAGGCCCAAAGAACCATGTAGATGTAAATGGTTTATAGACATACATACATTGGATTCTCACCTTTACAAAAATTTGCTTAAATTTTGTTTGACTGATGATAACCTCATTACTTGACAATGGGTTAGTTTAGAAAGAGTCAGTTGTGAGTTCATTATAATGTTCGATGTACATATATTATAATTAATTTTGCTACTGTACTAGAGCCAGAATTAATATAATCCATCCTAAGACATTAATGCAAATGAGGAATTACAATTCTAGGCTCTTAGCCATGGACATGCAGATTAGTATTTGCAAAAAAAAAATTATGAAAAAAAACTATGGACTACTAATTTTTCACACTAAGTAGGGTAGATTGATCTAGTTCATCTTTCACTTTAAACTTTATCAACAATATTTTCTAAAATTAATATACTCAAGAGAAAATGATCTTTTGAAACAGTTTATAAAAGACTGATAACTTAATTTGAAATATAAACTGGTTATTAAATACATTTCTATTTTATTTTTAAAAATTCACTTAAATAGAGTGAGTTCTTAATCATTCATGTCATTAGGATTTGAAAGAAATGGTAGAATGTTAAAGTGTTTTGATTGATATGCCAAGTTGCCAATGTTTAATAGTTATGTAAAATTGTATCTGGATTTTAATTTAATATATATACTTTTATGGTAAAAAGTAAGATTAATTTTATATCATATATGCAATCAACTAATGCCAAGGTTAAACATCCTTATATGATGCTGGGTTGCCATAGTAGGTAGATTGCATGAACTAATTTTCTTAATGGATATGGTCAAATATAAAACGAATATTTCAAAATTTTGTTATGAACAATAACACCTACCTAGATGTTATTTTTCCTGTTATGGGCTAAATTGCTTCCCCCATAAAAATCCATACATTAAAGCTCTAACCCCGAGTACCTCAGAATGTGACTCTGGAGATAGACATGACCACATGAGGAGGAAACAAGAGGGAAAACATTTCCAAGTCAAAGAAAGATGCCTCAGAGAACACCCAACCGTGCAAGTACCTTGATCTTGGACATCCAGCCTCTACAACTGGGAGAAAATAAATTTCTGTTGTTTAAGCCACCCAGTGTTTGATATTTTGTTATAGGATTCCTACCAAACTAACCAAACTAATATATCTCCTTATACAATTATTGAAGTTAATATTAGGTTTTCTAGTAAGAAGTATTTATAATTTTTAAAATAAAAGAATGATCAAAATAGCTGTAAATTAAGATTTATTGAAGAAATTAAAAGAGACAATATACCTGGAAATAGTACAACAGTTTACTAGCTTTTATGATTTTTTTTTGTTGAATATAGATCTTTTACATCCCATCTGTGTGCTTGTTCATTTAATTTAATTTAACAAATATAGTCACTTCGTTTTCAGAAATCTGCAAAGGGAATGTAACATTTGTCTCACCTATGAAGTCTCTAATATGGCTTCAGAAAAGTAATGAAGAGCTCTACTTGATGGATCAAGAAAAGTCAAATAGAGGCTGGATGCAGTGGCTCATCCCTCTAATCCTAGCACTTTAGGAGGCTGAGGTGAGTGCATCACTTGATCCCAGGAGTTCAAGACCAGCCTGGGCAAACTGGAGAAACCCCATTTCTAAAAAAAATACACAAATTAGCTGGGTATGGTGGCATGCACCTGTAGTCCCAGCTACTTGGAATGCTGAGGTGGGAGGATCACCTGTGCCCAGGAGATTGAGGTTACAGTGAACCGGAATTACACCACTGCACTCTAGCCTGGGTGACAGAATGAGACCTGTCTGAAAACATAAAATGAAAGAAAACAAAAGAAAAGAAAAGAAAAGAAAAGAAAAAGAAAAAGAAAGAAGAAAGAAAGAAAGAAAGAAAGAAATAATAAAAAGAAAGAAAAAGAAAGAAAGAAAAAGAAAGAAAAGAAAAGAAAAGAAAGAAGGCAGGCAGTCAGCAGGCAGGCAAGCAGAGACATCTATTAGGGAAGTTTACACCTGAACTTGAAAAACGGGAGAAAAAAAATCTTCAACATGCACATTGCATATTGCTTTCTAACATTGGCTTATGAAATGTTTAATAACTATTTTCTCAGGGACTTTTGCTCATTTTTTAAAAGGAGTTGTATATTTCTTACTACAAAGTCTTTGTTTTTACTTTTGTTTATTTTTTTAGTTATCAAGGGTACATAATAGGTGTATATATTTATAGAGTTCATGTGATATTTTGATACAAACATAAAGTGTATAATAATCAAATCAGGATAAATGAGGTACCCATCACCTCAAGCACTTATCATTTCTTTGTGGTTAGAAGCATTCCAATTCCACTCTTCTAATTATTTTTAAATATACAATAAATTATTGTTGACTGTAGGTGCCCTGTTGTCCTAACAGCTACTAGATCTTATTCATTCTATCTACCTATATTTTTACACCCATTAATCATCCTCACCATATCTCACCTCCTTGCTACCCTTCTCAGCCTCTGGTAACCATAATTATATTCTCTAGCTCAATGACATCAATTGTTTTAATTTCAGCTCCCACTCATAAGTGAAAACATGCCATATTTGTCTTTCTGTGCCTGGCATATTTTACTTAAAATAATGTCCTCCAGTCCATCCATGTTGCTGCAAATGACAGATTTAATTCTTTTTTTTAAAATCACTGAACCATGTTCCACTGGGTGTACGCACCACATTTTCTTTATGTATTTATCCCTTGAAGGATACTTAGTTTGATTCAAAATCTTGACTATTATCAATAGTGCTTCAATAAACATGAGAGCTCAAACATCACTTTGATATACTCATTTTGTTTGGTGAGGGTGGTTATTGACCTAACAGTGGAGCTGAAACATCATATGGTAGTTCAATTTTTGTTTCTTTGAGGAACCCCCATACTGTTATCCACAGCAATCATACTAATTTACATTCTCACCAACAGTGAGAAAAAGTCTTCCTTTTTCTCCACATCCTCATCAGCATTGATTATTTCCATTTTTTTAAAGATAAAAACCTCTTTCTACAAATTTCAAAAGTGTTTTTAAAACATTCTGGAAACAATTTGTTTGCCAGATATATGATTTGAAAGTAATTATTCTTCTGTAGCTTAACTTTTCTAGTCTTTTAACGGTGTTTTCCACACAGCAAATTGTTAAGTTTTTTTAAATAGCATTTCTCATTTTTTAAATAGATTGTACGTTCAGTGTCATGTCTAAGAACTCTACCTAACCCCTGAGCCCACAGGCACTTTGAGTGAAAGAAATCAGATTCAAAAGGTTGTAATTCCATTTACACAACACTCTTGACAAGAAAAACAAACACAGACAGAAAAAGCACAGTGGTTGCCAGTGGTGGAAGATAATGGGACTACAAAAGGGTGCTATGAGGAGTTTTCTAGGGTGACAGAACTGTTCCATATTCTGATCATGGTGGTGGTTAAACAAATCTATGCATGGTTATAACTCATGCAACTACACAATTCTCCAAAAAAGTCAGCTTGATTAATGTTAAATGAAAGCAAAAAAGTACATATGTATAAAGCAAAAATATAAAATGTTATCATAAGTATATTTTATAGTAGATATTCCTTAGAAGTATGTGAATGACAATTATTAAGAAGGCACAGTAGTGATAAATTAAAATTAAATCTGTTAGATCACAGAACTCAAAAGCATTGAATAAGACAGTTTTCATATTCAGAGACTGGTCTGATGTTACATAGTAGTAAGTTCAGTGATAAATTTATGAAATTAAAATATACAAGGCTGGGTGTGGTGGTTCATGCCTGTAATCCCAGCTACTGGGGTAGCTGAGTCAGGTGGATAGCTTAAACCTAGGAGTTCGAAGCTGCAGTGAACTATAATCATCTCAGCACTACACTCCAGCCTGGGCAATACATTGAGACTATATTTCTTTTTATTTTATTTATTTATTTATTTATTTTCCTTTT
The DNA here is from genome assembly GCF_000001405.40 of Homo sapiens. Classification (NCBI taxonomy): domain Eukaryota; kingdom Metazoa; phylum Chordata; class Mammalia; order Primates; family Hominidae; genus Homo; species Homo sapiens. The sequence goes on along the minus strand of NC_000003.12, from coordinate 163,616,447 downwards.
TATTCTTTTTGAAACGGAGTCTAGCTCTGTTGCCCAGGCTGGAGTGCAATCTTGGCTCACTGCAACCTCCACCTCCCGAGTTCAAGCGATTCTTCTGTCTCAGCCTCCCAAGTAGCAGGGATTACAGGCGCTTGCCACCACGCCCAGCTAATTTTTGTATTTTTATTAGACGAGGTTTCACTGTGTTGGCCAGGCTGGTCTCAAACTCCTGACCTCGTGATCCGCCCGCCTCAGCCTCCCAAAGTGCTGGAATTACAAGCATGAGCCACCATGCCCGGCTGAGACTATATTTCTTAAAGAGAGAAAAAAATGATGGAAAGGAAGAAAGAAAACAAATTAAAACATGTAATGTAGAAATTCTAAAAACTATTTGCTACTGCTTTATTAAGCCTGGGTAATGAAAATATTCATAACAGAAGGCAGTACTAAGTATCAGAGTTTCTAATATTTTTTTCCTTAAAAACAACAACAAACATTCGTAAAATATTATGAAAAATTAGAAAATAAAAAAACACAATAATGTGAGCAGGGGCATAACAATCCCATATAACAGTAATTAAATATTTGAGACATGTTCCCTTAGTTTATTTCACATTGGCCAGAAGCCAAACTTAAAGTTAAGCAGGACCTAAGGGGACCATGCATTATAAAATGGGCATATAGGGTATATTGTAGCCAGTTCCTCTGGATGCAGTAATTTGTAGATTCTTGGAAGAAAGTGCCAGACAGTCAACAATTATTTATTTGTTTGTCTAGCTGTTTAGTCAATATAGGTTGAACTAATAACCTTAAATTAGACATAAAATTATTTTTCATTCCTGATATTTTGTAATCATTTTTTTCTTTCTTTCCTGTTACTTGTTGGAATTTTGGGTTTAGCAAATTATCAGATCGGTAAATCCGTGAAGATAACTTCTAAATATTAATTAATTGTCTTTAAAAAGAATACAAAACCTCTCATCCCCCCTTTTTGTGATTGCTACTAACATACTGCTGTAAATAAGGAGATGTTATTACTAGGAACTTTTCTATATGTTTAAGGGTGAAAACGGTATAGTAATAGAAAATAGAAAAGAATAGTAGAAAATAGAAAAGCTTCCATGGATAAAATAAATAAAAGGGGCAAAAAGCTTATACTGGTACAATGGCTTTAAAATTGTGATTGCTTTGAATTTATCAGGAGATAAGCAATGATGCAAAAATAGGCTACTAATTAATAAGGACAAGCTTAAAATTAGTAAGTTCAAAATGGCTGAGTTGTTGAAACTACTTGTACAAATAATTTTTAAATTAGAAAAATGATAGAAATTTAGAAAATAATGATGTCTTTGCAAAAATGCTATTGACCAAACCTGACAGGGATTCTTGAATATTTGAATAAACCCAAATCAGCAAATTTAGATGATCTGTTTCCAAGGGGTAGGAGCAAGTTTGTTACATAGTATTGTGCATCTTTCTATCAGTCACTGAATTGACAATAATAAATATACAAAAATAATGTCAACACATCTATGTATAGTTATGTCTTCAATACCAATTCTCTCAGTCATCTTAAATCCTACTTTTGATTCAGTATGTCTTTTAATGTATTGATTTTTTTCCAGACCTCAAAATAAGAAATTGGGTACTTATATTTTTCCAGTTGTTTTTCAAAATTGCAGTAACTGAAATAAAAAAGAAAATAACTTTTGAATTAAAAATATGGATACTGATGAGAAAGGGACAAAAATTCATGATTGAGGGCAATGAGGTATTTTGTTTGTGTGTTTTTTGTTGTTTGTTTTACAGTCTACTGAAATACTAAGGAACTATATTCGGAGGAGATGATACTTAATCTGAAACTTCAAAAGTGAGAAGGATCCCACTATCTAAGGTATTGAGGGTAAGATCATTCCAGAAAAAGAAAACAGTTTATCTAAACATTTGCAATAAAAAGCTTTTATGCTCAAGAAATAAAACAAGGTTTTCCTCGCTGAAGTTAAATGCCTCTGAGTGATAGTAACAGGACGAAAGGAAGATAATAAGAGTTAGATTATGAAAATCAGGGTAAAAAGTTTGATTAGAGAAGTGTACAATTAAGTATTTAAGTATATCATCCTTAAATGAAAACCACTTCAAGTTCTGGTTCCATTTAAAGAAAATCCAGTGGCTGAAGAAGTTATGTTAACATGGCAGAATAGGTTTTTAAAATGAGACTAAATTATATAAATATATGAACTGTTAAAACAAACAAAGTATGCAGCACATATGACTAATCTCAATCTCTAAATAGTAGTATATACAGAACTGTAATAAAAAATTAGATGACTTGTGTAATAACTTTTGCCACAAATTCTAATGCACACTCCTCTTTTTCTATACTCCATGATTAATCCGTTGAAGTGTTTTTGAAAATTTACAGATAGTTTAAGGGTTAAAAACAAATCAATCAAAAATACAGCATGTCGTTATTTTTATCTTATTTTTTGTTAGTGTAGTGAATATTTTGTTAGAAGATTGAATATTTTGAAGAGCCATACTTAATGAACTTGAATGGTAGTGAGCAATCAACACTAGTAGATCTTATTTCATACTACATCAAAAAATATAAATATTTCTTTAGCTCCTGTTGGAGATAATGCTATTATTCCACTGTTTACATTGAGAGTCAAGAAAGTTATATCAGATGTGATTTTAAAAGTTCAAATCTTGCTCTAAAGGATATTACTTACAGAAATGTTAACTCTGCAACTTTACATACACCCAATACACATTGGCCTATGTTTGTGAGGATTTGTATATATAATAATTGTGCAGATTATTTTATGTTTGTCTCTTTACTTCCTCTTCTTCCTATCTTATTTACATCATAAATACCATTATTTTTTAAATGAGTGACATAATGAAAACAATAGCTAAACAATAAAGTCTGCGCTCTAGTATCAATACATCATCCTGTAACAACTGGTTGAGCATAAGAAAGTTATTAAGCATGAGGAACTTCATGGATAAAACAACAAGTTATTATGGTGCAGGAGAAACAGCAGGAGTCTTGTAATCACAGATAAAGTTTTTGTTTGTTTCCAAATACAGACTCTATTTCTTATTAGCTCTAAAACTCTTATTAGTTATTTAACTCCTTAAACTATCTTTTCTTCATCAGGATAACAACAGTAGAAAGGCATTCTACATGTGCGTCTGTGAAGACAAAATGAGGTAATGTGTACTAAAGTGCAATATGACACTATAACAGATATATCTGTATGTGAGATTCCATTATTTTAATTGAAAATAAATGTGTGACAAATAGCTTACTCTTCCTTATGCGTTGGAGATTTTGTCATTTATTATTTTTTTGGTAGCAACAGTATTTTATATATATATATAAAATATATAAAATATATAAATATATATAAAAAATATATAAAACTATATATATAGTTTTAAAATAATTCCCAATAAATTTAGTAGATAACTTCTCATTTTCTCTTTCTTGATTACTTGGCCTTAATAACTTATCTGTTTTTTGGTCAATTATCCAATGAGTTTTTAAAGTAATTATATGGGTAGTATTGGTAGTATATATAAAGTAATTATATGGTAGTATTAGTACTGAGGTATATTTATACATATACATAAAACCGTTCCTACCTCTTAAAATTTTGTAGGATAGATAAAATATGTAATTCCTCACATATCATAAGGCAAGATTTAAATATTAAAAAATAATTACTCAAACAACAATGATATATGAGTTGTGGATATCCAGACAAATTCAAAAATTTGTTGGCATCTGTTGTAGGTGTTATAATAACTGGGTAGTTGGTGTTAGTGATACATGGCATTCTATGAGAAGAAAATAATAAGAATAAACATTAGTAGGCCAGGCGCGGTGGCTCACGCCTCTAATCCCAGCACTTTGGGAGGCCGAGGCAGGCGGATCACGAAGTCAGAAGATCTAGACCATCCTGGCTAAGATGGTGAAACCCCGTCTCTACCGAAAATACAAAAAAATTAGCCGGGCGTGGCAGCGGGCACATGTAGTCCCAGCTACTCGGGAGGCTGAGACAGGAGAATGGCGTGAACCTGGAAGGCGGAGCTTGCAGTGAGCCGAGATCGTGCCACTGCACTCCAGCCTGGGTGACAGAGCGAGACTCCGTCTCAATAAAAAGAAAGGAAGGAAGGAAGGAAGGGAGGGAGGGAGGGAGGGAGGCAGGGAAGGAAGGAAGGAAGGAAGGAAGGAAGGAAGGAAGGAAGGAAGGAAGGAAGGAAGGAAGGAAGGAAGGAAGGAAGGGAATAAACATTAGGAGACAGAAAACCAACAGCTGCATTTGGAGAAGTAAAAATGCACCAGATTTGCTATAGTTGAATATAGGATAGCAAAAAGTCTGGAAAGAGGGTCTTGGACGCTACCTGAAATTATTTGATTTTTCTCAGAAAGTCAGTGATGGTGCTGTGGAAGAAATTAGGAAGTGCTATGATCAAAGTAGTGTTCCTGGAATATCAATCTGATGCTGTTATGCAGGACAGAGTAGAGGAGGAAAAACAAAGCAGCCTTGGAGAGATGTATTAGAAGGCTTTTTTGGCAGTCCAGAAAGTCATGAGTACCTAGACCAGGATATGAATACTACGAATGAAAAGTGAAAGGGTCTACATAAAATATATATAACTGAAGATTGCACAGATCTTGGTAACTGATTGGATCTGAGAAAGAAAGGAAGGCATTAAAAATAACTATTGTATCATTAAAATGGCCATTCTGCCCAAAGCAATCTACATCTTCCACAGTACTCCTATAAAACTACCAATGTCATTTTTCACAGAATTAGAAAAAAAAAAAAACTATTCTAAAGTTCATATAGAACCAAAAAGAGCCCGACTGGCCAAAACAATTCTAGGCAAAAGGAACAAAGCCAGAGACATCACATTACTGACTTTCTGTAAGGGTACAGTAACCAAAACTGCATTGTACTGGTATAAAAGCAGAAACATACAGAAAGGGAACAGAATAAAAAACACATAAATAAAGCCACACACCTACAACCCTCTGATGTTTGACAAAATTGACAAAAATAAACAATAGAGAAAAGACTCCTGTTCAATAAATGTTGCTGGGGTAACTGACCAGCCATATACAGAAGAATGAAACTGGACCCCTTTGTTTCACCACATACAAGTGTAATATGGGTAAAAGATTTAAATACCACGTTATACATTAAAAATCCTAGAAAAAAACTTAGGTAATACCCTTCTGGACATCAGCATTGGCAAATAATTTATGACTAAGTCCTCAAAAGCAATTTCAAGAAAAAGAAAAAAACAAAAATGACAAGTGAAACCTAACTTAACTAAAGAGCTTCTACACAGTATAAGGAAACACCAACAGAGTAAACAGACAACCTACAGAATGGGAGAAAATGTTCACAAACTATGCATCCAAAAAAAGTCTAATATCCAGAATCTACAAGGAACTTAAGCAATTCAACAGGCAAAACACAAACAACCTCTTTATATGGACAAATTATATGAACAAACTCTTCTCAAACATATGAAAACATGCTCATCATCAGTAATCATCAGAGAAAGGTATATCAAAACCACAATGAGATACTATGGGTGAAAGATTTAAATATAAGACCTTAAATATTAAAAACCACAAGGAGATACTATCTCACACAAGTCAGTATGGCTATTAATAAAAAGTCAAAAAATAGCAGATTCTGGCAAGGCTGCCAATAAAAAGGAATGCTTATACACTGTTGATTGAAATATAAATTAGTTCAGCCACAAGGGAAGCAGTTAGGATATTTCTCAGGGAACTTAAAATAGAACTACCACTCTACCCAGCCATCCTATTAGTGGGTATACACACAAAGGAAAGAAATCATTTTAACGAAAAGACACATCACGTATATGTTCATTGCAGCTTTATTAACCATAGCAAAGGCATAAAATCAACCTAGGTGCCCATAAATAGTGGATTAGAAAAAGGAAAATCTAATACATACATATTATAAAAGAATATGTAATATAATATATTGGAAAATATATTAATCATATCTTGGAAAAAACGTAATATATACATTAGGTTGGTGCAAAAGTAATTGCATTTTTTGCTATTTCTTTTAAATTACAAAACCACAACTACTTTTGGACCAATGTTATATATATACATCATGGAGTACTATACAGCCATAAGAAGGAAATCATGTACTTTGCAGCAACATGGATGCAGCTTGAGGTCATTATCCTAAGCAAATTAGCACAGAAAGAAAGAATCAAATGCTACATATTCTCACTTATAAATGGATGCTAAACATTCGGTACACATAGACATAAAGATGGAATAAACAGACACTGGAGACTACTAGAGAGAGGAGAGACAGGATCAAGAACTAAAAAAAAAACTACCTATTGGGTACTATACTGGGTGATTGCATCATTCATACCCCAAACCTCACTGACATACAATATACCCATGTAACAAACCTGCAGGCTGGGTGCTGTGGCTCACATCTGTATTTCTAGCATTTTGGGACTTTGGGAGGCCAAGATTTCAAGACCAACCTGGCCAACATAGCAAGAACATGCCAGTAAAAATCAAAAAAAGAAAGAATGAAAGAGAGAGAAAGAGAGAGAGAGAGAAAGATCTGCACATGTACCCTCTGAATCTAAAAAAAAGTTGAAATTATTTAAAAAAGAAACAAGAATTATTGATGTAAGATACATAGGAATATAGATGAACAGAAGCAAATTGCTTCTGTAACAAGCAAAGGTTAAAAAAAAAGTGAGAATGAACATTATAAAAAATGGCTAGTTAATTCCTGATATTCTGTTTTTATCATTTGATAACTCTTCTTAAAATGATTCTGAATAATCAAGCACATGATCTAACTTTTTAATTTAATCTTTATTTTCTATTATCTGTACACATGAAATATTTATATTCATTTAATATACATATTAAATTATTATTCCATATAGTTTTAAAAGGATATCAAGCTAAAGAATAAGATTTGGAACTCTAATTTTAGTTCAGACTAATAAAAAATAATATCTTAGCAACACAGAAATTAACATAACATTAAAATAATCATTTTTTAATGAAAATCTAAGGCAACACCTGGAAGTTTTAAAAACATAATTAAGAACTAAGAAGATGCCACACAGTATTTTTATAAAATATATTTTTCAAAAAGAATGTTACAGTGTGATAGGAAATGTACTAAGGCAAAGACACTGGTATATTTTGTCATAAATGGACTTGAATTAGTGAAAAACCTACATAATCTACAAAGGTCTTAAAAATCTTTAGAGAATTTTGCATGAAATATTATTAGGTGCTAAACAAAAGGCATTTTTTCAGTGTCAATATATATTATTATTATAAAAAATAGTTGAAGCAAACTGGAGCTTAGAAAGACAAAGAAATCTCAAAAGTAAGCTTAAAAAAATACAACTAAATTTTAATCCCCTAAGAACTAGAACAAAATGAGGATGCTCACTTTCACCACTCCTATTTAATACAGTGCTTGAAGCTTAGCCAGAGCAATCTGGCAAGAAAATTAAAGGCATCCAAATTGGAAAAGCAATTAATTTATCTCTTTTCTCTGATGATATGTTCTTATACCTAAAAAACCCTAAAAACTCAATAAAAAATATTTGATTTGATAAATGAATTTGATAAAGTTTTAGAAGTTCTCATTATGAGTGAGCAGTGGGTCCAAATGCATCTGTGTTAAATGTCCCCGGATTGTTGCACATTGTTTGACACTAAAAAGTAAGACAAAATTATAATGAGAGTGTCTGGGCTAAATATGGAGATAAATGTAGATTTGGTTACCAGAAACCCTAGCCTACATGCCCTTTGAATAAATCAGGTAGATAAGAATTTAGTGAAAATTTGATAATTTTAATTTACAATTGTTTTCATCTATCTAGAAGTTATTTACTCTAGGATATAATTTGTGAAATAATAATCTATTATTATATGATAAGAATAAATTAAAAATTGAATAATTTCTCTAGAAATCAATTAGAAATGTCATATACCATCTATCACAAAGGCACAAAGTTTAAGCTTAAAATCTAGGTTGGAATGTATAACCACATTTAACTACTACATGAAGATAATTCATCTAGAGCACATAATATTTTTTAATAATCCTAGAGGAGATAATAGAATATTTAATATTTTACAAAAAAAGAATTAAAATATATAATAAAATATATTTACAATATGAATACTGTTAGTATTCATAACTACAGGGTAATAGTAATTAATAGTAGTTACTATTAGTTATTATAAATAATACTAGTTGCAGACTACTATTGAGTCACTGCTTCATGTCAATACTCTCTGTGATTTTTAAAAGCAATGATCCATTTGATCCTCACAGAGCCCTGTAACTTGTTACTTCCATCATATGAATAGTTCAAATTAAGCTATAAAATTGAGAAGTTGTTTAAGTACTGTACTTAACTGCAACAGATTAGGTTAATTTTTTTAAAAACTTTGAATGAATGAAGTAATTTTTAAGCAGACTAACTTGATAGGATTTGGGAGAGTATTAAAATCAATAATTGTTTCTAAGTTTGTTGGTAGATACTAGGAACTCAGAAAAGAGTAAATTATTTGCTACTCTTTATAAACAGACGTTATGAGTATACCGTATCTGTACAGTCATGCACAGAATAATAATATTTCAGTCAACAATGGACCACATATGTGATGGTCCCAAAATATTATAATACTATATTTTTACTGAAAACAGGTAACAGAAAAATTAAAGTAGGGTCCAAAGAAGTATGAGATTTTAAAAATACAATAATAATATATTCTTAGGCAGACTGTAGTAAGGTGTTTGAAAAACAAGTATCTCTTTATTTGGATCTACTTGCTTTTAGCTCAGGAAACAAATGCTAAATTCATGTAGAAATAAAGAATTCATAAGTTTGAAAGACAAAGACAACATATTAGAAAAATTTTATTGTGTTCGGATGTGCTATGTTTTCATACAACTGTGTGTGTGTGAGAGAGAGAAAGACAAGATGCCACATACTTGGCATATCTATGTGTAGATACACACATAGGTACCATTGTGTTACAGTTGCCTACAGTATTCAGTACAGTATCTGGCTTCACAGGTTTGCAGCCTATGAACAATAGTTCACACCATATAGCATAGGTGTGTAGTAGGCCATATCATTGAGGTTTGTGTAAGTACACTCTAAGATGTTTGAACAAAGATGAAATGCATTTCTCAGAAAGTATCCCTGTAGTTAAGCAACACATGACTATATTGTATTTGTGTCATGCTAGCTGTTGCAATATATTGGTGCATATTGCAATATATATTGTGCACACTGTATACACAATAATTTATAAAATGATAATACAGGAAACATAGGAAAACATTTTGACAAAATAGTAAACCTTATTTATTACAGGCCTTAGAGATCTGAGTCTCTCAGCCAGAAAGAAAGTTATGACCAGGTAGGACAGGCAGTCACCATTGAATGGCAGCACTTCTGTCATCCTACTTTCCTCTATCCCAATTTTCCTCTTTTGCCCCACATGTTGAGGGAAGAAATACTGCAAATTTCTATCTCAGCCACAGGGATCTGGCTACTTCAGAAAATTCACATTTCGAATAAGCAGATGACGAAAGGTTTCTCTCCTTTTGATTAGTGAGTTTTAAACTGACTTAAGGAGTAGAGTATTAGTACTTTCTCTGTGCTTTATGCTTAATATGTGTTATCACTTAATCTTCAAAACAAATTCTAAAAAACCGATGTTCACATTTTACAACTGAAGAAACTGAGGTTTAAGGAAATCATATAATTGCCTAATAAAACCAAACTGTTAAATTGGAGACTCAGTTCTTGAATTCAAGTCTGACTTTAAAAGTTACAGTATTTTACTACACTATGAAGTATATTCAGCAAGAACTTAATTGAAGAAAAGGCTAAAAAATGCAATTAACTGTAAGGAAGCTTCTGTTGTCACTGGCAATGATCATTCAACTTAATTTGTTTCTACAATACATTCTTATACTTAAACAATATTTTAACTTTCCTAGAATTCAATTTTTAGAAAATACTTGAGAATAATAAGCTGGAAACTACTACTTGTAATGACATAAGATATTAATATTTATAGAATTTCTCCACATAACTCACCACCAATGCTGCTTAATGAACAATAGAAAAATTGGATGACTGCATCCAAGATTCAAATGATATCCATTTTCTACAGTGGGATCTCTAAGGAACTCTAAGTAACTGTAACTATGTATCATTACTGCATACCAGGCAAACATGCTCCAAATTATGATAGCCAAATGCATCACAAATATGCCTTCAGGTCACCTTCTTTCACCATGACAGAGGTATGAATCAGAGTGATGCTCCTACATAAAAATACTTGAAAAAAAATGTTGCATTCTCAAAATAGCTGCTCTTGGTTACGGTATAAACTCTTGCTAATAAATCCCCCACCAGCCTCTCTCTCTCTCTCCATCTCTTTATCTCTCTCTCTTTTTATTTTATTTTTTGGTTTTTATTTTTGTTTTTACTCCAATGGTGCACTATGAGAAATAAATATTATATCTACATATGTAATTTAATGCTAAGGAAATTCATCATTTATTCCCTTGGAAGAAGCAACAAGTGTCTACTAGAGACTTGGACCTAGGGTTAGTCATCATCAAAAAATTAACTACAACATTTCAGATAAGTTGAGTTGAGGGCTTCTGTGATTCAGCATGATTAAGAATTTATGCCTATATATAAGCATAAGCATATATGTATATAAGCACATATATATATACACATATAAGCATACATATATATATTTGAAGAGAGAGAGAGTCTTTCATTTTGGGGATATAACATGAAAACACACATATTTTCTGTGAATATAATATTTAAAAATATTAATTGCCCCAAGTTGATTTGCTGGCTCTCTAAGGGATGACATATCTCTCTAGATTCTGGGAGGCAGTCTATACCTCTAAATGCTTGCTTTAGTTAGCATTCTCACAAGAGTCTAAAAACTTCAAGCTTCAATGGGACTGTGATTTTCCGGGGGCAGTTTTTTTGTACTGCTTCATCTTGTCTTAAAATTGTGAGAGAAACACGAAGGTTAGTTAATTCAGCTTCTTGAATCATCCTCCTCATCCTCTCTAGTCTCCATAAAAAAATCACTGAATCCACTTTTCGTATAACACTACTAATAAATAATATTAATGACTCTTTTTTGGTCTTAGATGTTGGTATTTGCTTCTACAGACATAGTACTTAATATTTCCACCTTTTGATTTGCAGCTAATTGAGATTTAAACATGAATTACATCTTCTTTACCTAAAATTACAACGAAACTACATTTAAAAAATACAAAGCATCAATCACCCACAGACAAGCAGCTTCTGCATACTGTTCTTTTACAATCAAATACCACTTCTTCCTAACTGCCTTGTGAGCTCTTTTCACAACACAGATTCTTAAAAGAATTATTAAACTGATGTGGGAAGCGATTTTTTTAGCCAATAAAATGGTGGCTTTTTTGTTGGTTTTCTCTTTGCAATGTTTTGATATTTCTCTACGAAGTTCTGAGATTTCCTTTTTTATTGTCAAATTTAGTGGACTCCTTGAATTCTTTTTTTAATTTTTAATTTTTGTAGGAACATAGTAGTTACATATGTATATATATATGCATGGGGTATATATATATGTGTATATATATGCGTGTGTGTGTATGTGTGTGTGTGTATATATATATATTTTTTTTTTTTTTTTTTTTGAGACAGAGTCTTGTTCTGTCACACAGGCTGGAATTCAGTGGCATGATCTCGGCTCACTGCAACCTCTGGCACTGCCCAGGTTCAAGCAATTCTCTTGCCTCAGCCTCCCAAATACAGGTGTGTGCCACCACGCCTGGCTAATTTTTGTATTTTTAGTAGAGATGGGGTTTCAGCCTCTTGGCTAGGCTGCTCTTGAACTCCTGACCTCGTCATCCACCCCTCTCAGCCTTCCAAAGTGCTGGGATTACAGATGTGAGCCACCGCACCCGGCTGGGGTATATAAAATATTTTGATACAGGCATGCAATGCATAATGATTACATCATGGAGAATGGGATGTCTATCCCCTCAAACATTTATCTTTCTGTTACAATCTAATTATACTCTTTTAGTTATTTTAGAATGCACAGTTACATTATTACTGACTATATTCACCTTGTTGTGCTATAAATAGTAGATCTTATTAATTCTTTCTAACTATTTTTGGGGAGGTACCCATTAACCTTTCCCACCTCCGCACCCACTTCCCTTTCCAGCCTCTGGTAACCATCCTTCTACTTTCTAGGTCCATGAGTTCAATTGTTTTGATATTTTGATCCCACAAATAAGTGAGAACATGGGATGTTTGTCTTTCTGTGCCTGACTTTTTTTGCTTAATATTAATGATGTCCAGTTCAATCTATGTGGTTGTAAATGACAGAATCTCATTCCTCCCTATGACTAAACAGAACTCCATTGTATATATTTACCACATTTTCTTTAGCAATTGCTCTATTGATGGACCCTTAAGTTGCTTCCAAATCTTGGTAACTGTGAACAGTGCTACAACAAACATAGGAGTGTAGACATCTCTTTGACATACTGATTTGCTTTCGTGCCTATACTCAGCAGTGGAATTGTTGGATCATATGGTAGCTCAATTTTCAGGTTTTTGGGGAAGCTTCAAACGGTTCTCCATACTGTTGTACTAACTTACATATCACCAACAATTTTAGAGGGTTCCCTTTTCTCCATATCCTTGTCAGCATTTGTTATTGCCTGGATATAAGCCATATCACCAAATACAATGGATATAAGACATTGTTATTTACTTATAAGCCATTTTAACTGGGGTGAAAGAATATTTTCTTGTAGTTTTGATTTGCATTTCTCTGATAATCAGTGATGTTAAGCACCTTTTCATAAACCTGCTTGCCATTTTTCTGTTGTCTTTTGAGAAATATCTATCCAAATCTTTTGCCCATCTTTTGATTAGATAATTAGATTTTTTTTTCTATAGAGTTGTGTGAGCTCCTTATATATTCTGGATATTAATCCCTTGTCAGATGGGTAGTTTGCAAATATTTTTCCTATTCTGTGCATTGTCTCTTTATTTTGTTGATTGTTTTCTTTGCTGTGCAGAAACTTTTTAACTTGATGTGATCCCATTTGTCCATGTTTGCCTTGGTTGCCTGTGCTTGTGGGGTATTATGCTGGAGTTTTGCCCAGACCAATGTCCTGGAGATATATTTCCAAACATTTAAGTTTAGTAGTTTTATGGTTTGAGTCTTAGACTTATGTATTTAATCCAGTTTGATTTGATTTTTGTATATAGCAAGAGATAGGGGTCTAGATTCATTCCTCTGCATATGGATATCCAGTTTTCCCAGCACCATTTATTGAAGAGACTGTCTTTTAACCAGTATATGTTCTTGGCACCTTTGTCAAAGAAGGTGTCTAAATTTGTTTAGGGGTTCTCTATTCTGTTCCATTGGTCTATTTGTTTATATTCCAGTACCATGCTGTTTTGGTTACTATAGAGCTGTAGTATAATTTGAAGTCAGGTAATGTGATTCCTCAAGTTTTGTTCTTTTTGCTTAGGAGAGGTTTGACCATTCTGAGTCTTTTTGTGGTTTCATACACATTTTAGGACTTTTTTTTTATTTCTGTGAAGAATGTCTTTGGTACTCTGATAGGGATTGCATTGAATCTGTAGATTGCTTAGGGTAGTAAGAACATTTTAACCATAGTGATAATTCCAATTTATGAACATGTACTAGCTTTTGATTTTTTGGTGTCCTCTTTAATTTACTTAATCAGTGTTTAATGGTTTTTATTATAGAGATATTTCACCTTTTGTTACTTCATTTCTATATATATAATTTTATTTATTCATTTGTTTGTTTGTTTTGTTTTTTAGGCAGAGTCTCACTCTGTTGCCCAGGCTAGAATTCAGTGGCACAATTTTGCCTCACTGCAACCTCCACCTCCCAGGATCAAGGGATTCCTGTGCCTCAGCATCCCAAGTAACTGGGACTAGAGATGTGTGCCACCATGCCTGGTTAATTTTTTTTGTATTTTTTGGTAGAGACGGGGTTTTGCTATATTGACCAGGCTGGTCAGGAACTCCTGGCGTCAACGCCTATCACAGCATCCCAAAGCGTTGGAATTACAGGCATGAGCCACCGCACCCGGCCTCCTAGATACTTAATTTTATTCATGTCTACTGTAAATGGGACTACTTCTTTCTTTCTTTTTCAGATTGCTCACTGTCAGCATATAGAATTGCTAATGATTTTTGTATGTTGATTTTGTACCCTGCAACTTTATTGAAGTTATCATTTCTAGTAGTTTTCTTGTCAAGTTTTTAGGTTTTTCCAAATATGAGATCACATCATCTATAAACATGGGTAATTTGACTTCTTGATTTCTAATTGGAATGTTCTTTGTATTTTTTCTCTTGTCTGATTGTTCTAGCTAGCCCTTACAGTACTATGTGGAATAACAGTGGTGACAGTAGGCATCCTTGTCATGTTCCAGATTTTAGAAGAAAGGCTTTTAGTTTTTCTCCTTTAGCATGTTACTAACTGTGGGTCTGTAATATATGGCTTTTACTGTGTTGAGTTATGTTTCTTTCATGCCCATTTTTAAGTATTTTATCTTTAAGGAATGTGAAACCTTATCAATTGCTTTTCAGCATCAATTGTAATGATTACATAATTTTTGTCCTTCAGTCCCTTGACACGATGTGTTACATGGATTGGTTTGCATATGTTGAATCATCCTTGCATCCCAGGGGTAAATCTCATTTGGTCATGATGACTAATATATTTAAGGTATTGTTGAATTTGGTTTGCTAGTATTTTGTTGAAGATCTTTGAATCAGTATTCATCAGAGATATTGGCCTGTTGTTTTCTCTTTGATGAGACTTTGTCTGGTTTTGATATCAGGGTAGTACTGGACTCATAGAATGAGTTTGGAAGTATTCCCTTCTCCTCTATTTTTTAAAATACTTTAAGTAGGATTGGTATTCGTTCTTTAAATGTTTGGTAAAATATACTAGTGAAGCCATCAGGTCCCAGGCTTTTCTTTACTGGAAGACTTTTTATAGTGGCTTTGATCTCTTTACTTGCTCTGTTCAGGTTTTGGATTTCTTTCTGGTTTAATCTAGGTAGGTTATATGTATCTACAAATTTGTCCATTTCTTGAAGATTTTCCAATTTGTTGGCATATAGTCACACAAAGTAGCCACTAGTGGTCTTTTAAATTTCTATAGTGTCAGTTTTAATGTCTCCTTTTTGGCCTCTGGTTTTCTTTACTTGGATCTTCTCTCTTTTTTGTTTAAATTTGTCTAGCTGAAAGTTTCTCAATTTTGTTTAATTTTGCTGAAAACCAACTTTTTCTCATTTGTCTTTTTTATTTTCTTCATTTCAAAAATACTTTTTATTTCTGCTCTGAAATTTAGATGCATTGTCAGATTGAAGTTATTCTCCATTATTGAGATAGGCGCTTATATCTATAAGCTTCCCTCTTAGTACTGCTTTTGCTGTATCCCATAAATTTGAGTATGTGTTTTCATTACCACATATTTCAAGAAATTTTTCAATTTACTTAATTTCTTCATTGACCCACCGGTCATTCAGGAGTGTATTGTTTAATTTACATGTATTCATATATTTTCAAAAAATCCTCGATATTGATTTTCAGGTTTATTCCATTTTGATCAGAAAATATGCTTGTTACTATTTCAGTTTCTTGAATTTTTTAAGACTTTTTTTTGTGACTTAATATATGGTCTTTCCTCAAGAATGTTCCCTGTGCTGATGAAAAGAATGTGTATTCTGAAGCACTTAGATGAAATGTCCTATAAACATCTATTAGATCCATTTGGTCTATAATGCAGATTAAAGCTGATGTTTCTTTTTTGATTTTCTGTCTGGAAGATCTGTCCAATGCTGAAAGTGTTGAGGTCTCCAGTGAATATTGTATTGGGACTTCTCTCTCTCTTCAGTTCTAATAGTATTTGCCTTGTATATCTGGGTGCTCCAGCATTAGGTGCACATATATTTAAAACTGTTATATCTTCTTGATATAAAAAACTGTTTATTTGTCTATATGAACAAGTAAACAACCAAGCAAAAAGAAAACTAATACAAACTCAATTCCTTAACTTCATCCCTCCACTTTTTGACTTTTTCTTGTTTCTATTTTATCTTATTATACTATGTCTTGAAAAGTTGTCATCATTACTATTTTTGACTGATTCTTCATTTAGTCTTTCTACTTAGGATAAGAATAGTTTACACACCACAGTTATAATATTCTGTGTTTCTCTGTGTACTTTCTATTACCAGTGAGTTTTCTATCTTCACACGATTACTTATTATTCATTAACAGCATTTTGTTTCTGATTGAAGCACTCCTTTTAGTATATAGTGTAGGACAGATCTAGTGTCAATGAAATCACTAAGCTTTTGTTTATGTATAAAGGATATTTTCACTAGATATATATTCTAGGGTAAAAGTTATTTTCCTTCAGCTCTTTAAATATGTCATGCCACTCTCTCCTGGCCCATAAACTTTCTACTGAAAAGTATGCTCCCAGATGTGTTGGAGTTCCATTGTACGTCATTTATGTATTTTCTCTTGCTGCTTTAAGAGTCCTTCCTTGTCATTGATCCTTGGTAATTTGATTATTAAATATCTGGAGGTAGTCTTTTTTAGGTTAAACCTGCTTGGTGTTCTATAACCTTCTTGTACTTGGGTATTAGTAACTTTCTCTAGGTTTTAAAAATTTCCTGTTTTTATCGTTTTGAATAAACTTTCTACCCCTTCTCCTTTCCTAACTCTCTTATTAGGCCAACAAGTCTCAGATTTGCCCTTTTTGAGGCTATTATTTAGATTCCACAGGTAGGTTTCACTGGCTTTTTCTTCTTTTGTCTCCTCTGACTATGTATTTTCAAATAGCCTTTCTTCAAGCTCACTAACTCTTTCTTTTGCTTGATTGATTCTGCTATTTAAACATTCCTTGTAATCCCAGCACTTTGGGAGGCCGAGGTGGGTGGATCACGAGGTCAGGAGATCCAGACCATCCTGGCTAACACGGTGAAACCCTGTCTCTACTAAAAATACAAAAATTAGCCAGGCATGGTGGCAGGCACCTGTAGTCCCACCTACTCGGGAGGCTGAGGCAGGAGAATGGTGTGAACCCGGGAGGTGGAGCTTGAAGTGAGCCGAGATCACGCCACGGCACTCCAGCCTGGGCAAGAGTGAGACTCCGTCTAAAAAAAAAAAAATCCAATACATTCTTCAGTACAGTAACTGCATTTTTTATCTCCAGAATTTCTACTTGCTTTTTAATTATTTCAATATCTTTGTGAAATTTATCTGATACAATTCAGAATTTCTTCTCTGTGATATCTTGAATTTATTTGAGTTTCCTCAAAACAGCTACTTTGAACTCTCTGTTTCAATGATCACATACCTCTGTTTCTCCAGGATTGGTCTCTGGTGCTTTATTTAGTTCATCTGCTAAGGTTGGTTTTTTTTTTTTTTCTGGAATGTATTGATACTTGTAGATGTTTGTCTTCTTCCGGGCATTGAAGAGTTAGGCATATAGTTGTCACTGTCTGGGTACCTGTACTTCTTGAAAAGGCTTTCCAGATATTCACAAGGACTTGGTGTTGTGATCTAAGCTGTACCTGCTTTAAAGATATGGAACCAAGCCCAGTAATAATGTGGTTCTTGCAAACTTGTATAGGTACTGGCTTGATGGTGTTGGACAAAATCTGTGATGATTCTCTAGATTACCAGGGAGATACTTTTGTTCTCTTCCACTACACTTACCAAGTGGCAAAGCTAGCCAGGCCTGTGTTTTTCCCTTCAAGGCAGTGAGGTCCCCCAGGCCCTGAGTGGGTCCAGAAATGCCATCTGGAAGTCAGGGACTAGGGTCAAAACCTTAGAAGTCTCCCTGGAATTCTATTGTATTAAGGTTGAACTGGCTCTCAAACCACAAGAAGCAGTCATTCCCACAATTTCTTTCCTTTTCCAAAGACAAAGGAACCCCATCCTGTGGCCACTGCCACCACAGGTCCAAGGACAGTGCTGCCAGACTACTGCTGATATCCTTTTAAGGCTCTGGGGCACTTGGATAAACACATTATAAATGCTGCCTGGACTGGGAATCACCCTGACTCACCCTGCTAGGCAATAGGTTCCCTTCTGGCCCTGGGCAGGTACATCAATGGCATCCAAAAGCCATGTCCTGGAATTAGGGACCCCAAGTGCTTTCTTGGTGCTCTATCTCCCTGTGGTTGAGCAGGTACCTAAAGTTCAAGACAAAGTCCCCTTTACTTTTTCCTCTACTTTTCTCAAGCAGAAACTGTCTCACCAAATAGCCACCATATCTGGGAATGTGCTAAGCCTCTTCTGAGGCCAGAAAGTCTCAGAGCCTCACCCAAAGCCCTTGACATAGTACCTGGTGTCACTGCTCATTCAGGGCCAAGGGGCTCTTCAGTTAGAATGTGATAAATCCTGCTGAGACTGGGTCTTTCTCTTCAAGGCAGCAGATTTCTTTCTGCCTAAGGGTGTGTTCATAGAAATGTCGTCTAGGAGGTAGGGCTTGGAAAGAATGTCTCATGACTGTGATAGATGCCCAGATGCCCTGTCCTTCTGTGGCTGAGTTGGTATCCAATACACAAGACAAAATACTTCTCACTCTTCCCTCTCCTTTCCTCAAAAGGAAAGTAGTAGTCTCTCTTTTTTTTTTTTTTTTTTTTTTTTTGAGATGGAGTTTCACTCTGTCACCCAGGCTGGAATGCAGTGGGCAATCTCGGCCCACTGCAACCTCCACCTCCCGGGTTCAAGTGATTCTCCTGCCTCAGCCTCCCAAGTAGCTGGGACTACAGGCATGCACCACCACACCCGGGTACTTTTTGTATTATTAGTAGGGATGGGGATTCACCATATTGGTCAGGCTGGTCTCGAACTCCTGACCTCGTGATCTGCCTGCCTTAGCCTCCCAAAATGCTGGGATTACAGGCGTGAGCCACTGTGCCCAGCCAGAAGTAGTCTCTTTTGGAATCATAAACTATGCAGCCTCATGTTAAGGGAGGAATGATGCCAATACTCCATTAGCTGCTCCAGCTGGTGTCGCAGTAGATCACCTATTCCCCCGTGTCTACTGTCTCTGAGCACAATTCAGCAGTAGGACTTGTGCAAAAGTTGCAGACCTTGTAGCTTAGACAGCCTTTTAAGTTTATTAGGGCCCCAGGGCACTGTAGCCTGTGGTGGCAAGGCTTGTGGTAACTCAATTTCTACTGCTATTATTGGCAGTTCCACTATGGCCAGGGCTATTTTATATGGTCCCTTTGTGGGTGGCTGATTGCAGGGGGACAGGTGATGTCAGCGATTCAATACTGTTTTTCTTACCTATTCAGTGCTTCTTTCAGCGATGTGAATTCAAAACCAGGTACTGTGAGGGCTTAACTGATTTTTACTTCTTATGAAGGTGCTTTTCTTGTGTACATATTTGTTAAATTTTGTCCTTGTGGGTAGTTGGGGGTAACTGGTAGAGCCTTCTATTTCACCATTTTACCCCATCTCTGACACCTTGAATTTGAATCAAAGAAAACGTAACATCAACCACAATGTCATACACTGGAAGAACTAATTTCATCAGAATAGCAACTGAAAAAATTTTCCAAGTTGAAGATAACCAGTGATTTAAAACAGAAATTACAGGCCAGTCTTTAGTAAAATAAAAGAAAACAGTTGCAGGGGATTCATAAAAAATCTCTGTACTTCCTTCTTAATGTTGCTGTAAATCTAAAACTGCTCTAAAAATACAGTCTTCACCTGGGCAACATAGCAAGACACCATATCTAATAAAAATAAATAAAAGTTAGCTGGGCATGGTGGCACACACATGTAGGCACAGGGAGGCTGAGGTGAGAGGATCACTTGATCCAAGGAGTTTGAAGCTCTAGTGAGCTATGATCATGCAATTGTACTCCAGACTGGATAATAGAGTGAGACTCCATCTCTTATTTAAAATAAAAAATACAGTCTTAAAAAACAATGGTAAAATAATTCAAAGGCAAGCAAACAGGTTCTCCAATGGACTCTATAGAAAGAATGCAGCCCTGGTGACACCTTGATTTTAGCCTAATAAAATTTATTTCAAACTTCTGACCATGAGAAATATAATACAGTAAGTTTGTGATTTGTTCCTGTGCATTTTATGAAAATAGTTTTAAAATAGTCATAAAGTTAAGATTATTACATTTCTTTATATACATAAATGTTTTATTATAAAAATGTTGAGATTCACAAACAAAAGATTTTATGCACAGAAAATATAACATATTGGAAAATATATACCATTATTATCACAGAACTAGCTAAATATATGTCAATGATAAACTTAAATTTTTAAACAAAATAACAGAAAATTAAACTAGACTTTTTAAACTCTAATTGACTGATATTGTTGATTCTATCTCTTGCTTTAACAATTCCTCTCTTATTAAAATCGTTATCTAAGGAAAATTGATAATTATTTTACTATGTGTTAATTTATATAAAGTTCTGTTTGTCAAATGGTTTCAAACCCATCTAGTTTTCAGAGTAATGAATATAACTCATGCTCTGGCAAAACCTCCCAATAAATAACTAGGGAAGAAAATGATGGCATGAAATAAGCATATGACATTCAGCAAGCAGCTACCATAATAATATATTGACTACAGTAGCAGGGAGTATCTGAAACCAGAATCCTGCTAAGACTAATACTTGTCTATAAATGTTCATTAAAATTTCCACAGTAGAGTGTTTTTTTTTTTAATCTCAGTTCCTGACACTACATTGGCATTAAAAGTAGAACAATTCTGGATATAATGATAGGGGTTTTCTGGAACATGTTATTAAGGTGCATTCTCTTTATTCATTGAAATTTATTTTTACACAGTTATTAGAAGGAAAGTAAAGCAAGTTAAAAAATGTAAGGATCCCAACTTTACTAACCCCATTTTAGAGTAATCGTAATTTCTTCTATGTAATGATTCTGAAAGTGTGATTTAACCAGCTTCTCCAGGTCTATCTATTCCTTGACCTTCTCCTTTTCTCAAATCATCATCTCAATCACATCTGATTGAACAGTTTTTTATTAATTTACTTTAAACTTTTCTGATTTTGAACCCTTCTAAAATTACAACATATATAAAATAGTTACCATCCTGAATAGACTAACACCAATCTTTCCAAGTCAGATTCAGTCTTGAATATTTAAATGGCTCTTGAAAGATCTATTTTCTTCAGATAACTGACAAATTTAAGAAAGCTATTTTAGGGCATTCTGACTACTTTATCATCCTGTATAACTTGAATGTGGATTCTATTTCCTCTTATCTAACTCTCTAAGAAACGTAAAATTACCTGGCACAATGCTTTAGATTTTATTTGACATAAAAATTTAGCAGTCACTACGAAGGACAACACATAAAACAAAGACAAAATAAACCTTCTTTCTACAATCGTTACAAAATCCATTTAAAAAGTGATATTTGACTTAAATTTGATGTTGAATATGTGCAAATGATTCAATAAATAGGTAATCCTCATCAAAAGTAATTTAAGAATGGACAAAAGAAAATTGATAAACACAAGTATCCCACAGAAATATATATATGATCTCAACCAAAAGAGCAACAGAGGAAATGAGCAAATTGATAAACCAGGAATTAATTAGAAGGAACCTATATTTAAAATATTCTGGGAAATTTCTCAAAATATAGCCAACCCGTGTGTTCACCACACATTATGGGATGAATTAGATTCCAGAGGCATGGAGTATACTGATTAAAAAAATACAAAGGAATTCCAGATAAACGCAATACACATTCATTAGATGGGCATGTAGAATCTCCACGAAAAGATAGGAAATATTTAAAAATAAGTTAAAATACCAACTATTGCCAAAGGTTTAGAAATGTGAAGGAGAAGGCTTACTTCTGGGTTTTTTAAATGACATACTGGAGGTCTGGAAGGCATTTAGTGGTCAAGAACGTGCAGTGAATTTTCAGTAATACACAGGACAGTCAGGAAAATTGTAAATATTACCTGCTCCAATTGCAATCTTAAAACTATTGGGAACCACTGCCTAGAAAAAATGACTTTATCCTAGAATGTGGATGATATCAGTGTAGCAAATATAGAGAGAAATGTAACTTGATTTAGAAAGTTTTAAAATGCACCTGTTTTATGACCCACAACATTGTTAGATATATACCTTTAAGAAATGCTTTAAAATTTGAATAAGGAGATAATACAAAGATGCAAAAATGTTCATATCAGCATCATTTACATTGGAGAAAAAATGGACATAATAACAATGTTCCTCAATGGGGGTATGGGCTCAATGGGGCTATGGGCTCAATGGGGGTATGGGTAAATAACCTGAGTTATGTTCAGAAAATTGATTCCAAGGGAGCAATGAAAATGAATACATTATAGCTACATATATCAACATACTATATTTTAAAATATAAAGCAATGATTAACACTCAATTAAGGATATAATTACTTCTTGAGAGGAGTGTATAGGGATATACCAGCAGGAAGGCATGTACAGTGGATATTAACAGTGCGCATAACAATTTTTTCCCCAAAGCATTGATAGCCCCATCTTATATCCCCAATTAAATTCAACAAGACTCCAAGTACCCTTTGAGGCTATCTTAAAATTCAATGTCAGTCACCATAGCGGCCATGATTCTTTTCAAGGGTTACAACAGTATCTGGTGAAAAATCAGCGAATCGGCAGACAAATTGACACTGAATTACCTGCCCAACCTTATCTTCTATCACTCTGTCCTTACTTACTTAGGTCCTGACATGCAGGCCTCCTATCTATTCCTCAAATTTACAGAGAAGCCCCCAATCAAGTGTTTTTGCACTTGGTCTCTGTGCCCATCTCACCTCCTTGAATTATTTGTTCATGTGTTACCTTAGAGAAACTTTCTCCTACCAATCTCTTAAAGTGCTGATCTCCAACCCCCATCTTCCTTATTACTCTTTTACCTTTCTCCTTCACAGGATTTATAATTTTCTAATACATTACATAGTTTACTGATTGATTTATTGTCTGCCCTCAGCCCTATAGGATGACAGCAGAAAATTGGTGTTCATCTTTCTTACTGTTGTAATGCATGGTAAGGACTCAATATATTTTTTAATGAAGCAAAAGACTTCTGATTCAATTCTTTCATGGCTGCTACTTAGATGAATGTTGTAGAAGCCAGGCGACTCTCCACATCTATCAGTTCTGTTGTTCTCATGTTTGGCAAAGTAAAGAAAATATGGGCCAACGCTCAGCACAGAGTGCCCAGATTCCAGTCTCACAAGGTGTCTCATGCAGATTCCTCAACTGCATTGTTTTTTTAATCTATTTAAGTTCTTCCAATGAACGGTGTGTTTGCTGTTATTATCTCTCATGCATTCAACTATGAATTTCTCTTAAACCTTTTGGTCTCCTCTTAGACCATGGATTCTCATCTAATCCCCTGGAAAGCATTGAACTTAATATTTTCAATAAAATTTCCTATCATAAGCTTTAGGAATATAATTAAACATTCTGAATGTGTCCTAAATGCACAAATTTCTGCCAAAAAAAAGTGGTAGGAAAGGATCTGTTACTTTCTTGAAATGAGGAAAAACAAATACTGAAGGGAGAAAGATCTTCAATTAACTATTTTTTTATACTATAGCAACATATAGAGTGGCACAATTAGTCACCATTATGTTCTCAGTCTTTAAAAATGATATTTTTGTTCTTTTTGTTAAAAGATTGAGTCAGAATTTTGTTTCCAGGAGACAATACAAATTTTTAAAATACATGTACTCTCCATTGTCTGTTATCTTTGCACACAGGAAACATACATTTATGTGGGGTCAGGGACTATAGTTTCTAAATGAACCTGAACGTCACCTTATTAGCTCAGTGGTTTAAACAACTTAGATAATTACCCACATAAAATTATTTTCAGTGTCTAAGCTGCATTGAATTAGGCAATACACAGCCAAATTATACTCAACTGTAGACGGAAAATCTAATTACATGTGTCAATTAAACACTATTCTGTGCATATAAATATTGAATGCATAAAACTGTCAATATTCAAGGAATGCCATCAGAATAAGTCAATTGTAGAGGAAAACCTGTTTTACAAGCAAATGATGTGATATGTGAGAAATACATGTCATTTATCTTTTAGTTGGAAATAATAAGCCTTTCTTCTGTACAATAGAAAGAAAAATACCCAATTCAATTACAAGCTTTGTTCACTAGTTTTGTGGTAGAATAGTTTCCTTAACAATAAGAAAATATTTAAAATCATCATTTGAGTGTCCTGCAATGTTTTGTTTCAGAATATTAATTATTCGTGTAGGAGGAGGAAAAGCTAGAACATAATGATTCTTGTAGTCTTCCAATAAACTGATTGCCCCGAGTGCACATCACTTAATTACAAGTTGTAAGAACAAGTAAATGACTTCTTCTGCTTGAGCTACCTGTTAAACTTTACCATTAATTTGAGTCTTTTCCTTTAAAAAATAGTTCCGCTTATTTTTAGTGAAATTTTTTTCCTTAAATTCTGTCAATGTGCTGAAATATCCACTGTGATTCTGACAGGAAAAACATACCTTGTTTCAAGAGATAAAAACAAGTTGAGAACTATGACAAATATACATTAACTGAAGACAGCTCATATTATCAAAATGTTTTCTAAAATAGAGGGTTAGAAACTCTATCCGCATTTTTGTTAGATTGTTAGGGGAAATATAACAATTTGAGTCATGGGGTGAAAATACTGTGGTCAAGTCATCACGAGAATGTAAAGCAGAGGTTGGGATCATATTTTAATAAAAAGAGAAGCCATGTTAAGTTTTCAGAGTTAGTGGTAAATGGGAAAAACAATATCCTAATATTTATTGAATGAAATGATTAAATAGACTTGGAAGTTTTTTTTTAATTACAAGTATATATATTGAAAATATATATATATAATCACTCACAGGTCTTCATGGTATATATCCTCAGTCAAATCACTACAGAGAAATATGGGTGAAATAGATACATTATGGATTCACAGTTTCCCTGAAACCTATGGATTCACACCATACATTAACACGGTTGCCTCTTAGTGCTCAGAGAAGTACATTATAATGAAATAGTGAGTGGAGAGCTCCTGTCCATTTACTTCCTTTCTTCATGAAGAGTCTGCTACTGTTAAGATACTAGATAAAATAAACGTAGTGATTGTGAGACTCATTCACTTTAAAGTTGAAGTATTTTAGAAACAAAGTATATTTTTATGCTCTATAATGAAGAGTTGTGTTTCTAATTATAATACTAATAATCTGTTAGTGAAGAGGCAGAGAAATGGGGCACTTCCATAGGCTTCTGATTAAAGTATAAATTGCCCTATAAAAATAATCTCTACAGTGAAATTTTCCAAAAATGTCAAAGGCCTTATTATATTTTCCCTGTGATTGCATTAGTCTGTGGACCTCTACAACAAAATATAATAATAATAAATATTAACATTAACAAAAAAGTAAAATAAAACTTGGGAGTAGATTTAGGCCAAATAACCTGAAGATTACTTGCACTGAACTAAGCATAATGAATGTTGTCAGGACAAATTTCATATTCATTGTCATCTACTATAAACAAAGTTGAACACCCTATAAAGACAGAGAAAGGACTCACCAAACAGCAAAGCATTGCAACACTTCTCCTTCTCCCTGGGCCCTTGGAAAGTATCAAGTATTTGCACGATTACCCTTGTCTTCCTCATTTTGTATTAACATTGAGAATTCAAGGCAATTTGTTCACCTTAAGGAATTTCTGGCTCAAAATGAAAACCTAAACATTTTTCAACTTTCTCTTGCTTTTAAGAAGCCGTTAAAATTATGGTAAATAAATAATGCATGAAACTACAGCATATCATACAAATAAAAGCAATTAGAGCAGTTTCAATTGCTAAGATCCAGAAGATTTTTTTTGTTCGTTTTTCTGTTGTTTGTTTTTTGCTTGCAGAATAATGGCTACATTTGAGAAAGTTTAGCTATGTGGATACTTGCATAGACTAAGGTGTAAAAAAACCCAGATAAAGAATATCTTAAGAGTGATAAGTGGAATTAAAATTAATATTAATTAAAAGTCTCAATAAAAGAAAATATAATCCCCCATTCTCTCTCCATGTCCACTCAGAATAACTACCAACTAATTGTTGACCCTCCAGGTTCAAGTGTTGATCGGGGCAGATAGGCAGAAAATTGGAGGGCAATTGCGGTACGATTGCTGACATTCAGAGAAATGGCCTCTGAAGTCTGGCATTTAGATAGTCATTCCAAGGAACTTCCAACTGTCTGACATTTTAGCACAGTGAAGAAGAGGTGGTAAAAATATAAATAAGGATTTATTTTCCCTTGGGTATATACCCAGTAATGGAGTTGCTGGGTCAAATGGCAGTTCTATTTTAAATTATTTGAGAAATCTCCATACTGCAATCCATCATAGCTAAACTCATTTGCATTCTCACCAACAGTGTATAAGCATTCTCTTTTCTCCACAACCATGTCAACGTCTGTTATTTTTTGACTTTTTAGTATAGTCATTCCGACTGATGTGAGATGGAATCTCAATATGGTTTTTGATTTGCAAGTCCCTAATCACTAGTGATGTTAATCATTTTTTCACATATTTGTTGGCAGCATAAATGTCTTCTTTTATGAAATGTCTGTTCATGCCCTTTGCCTATTATGTACCCAAAGAAAAATAAGTCATTCAACCAAAAAGACACGTGCAATCGTATGCTCATTGTAGCACTATTCACAATAGCAAAGACATGGAACCAACCAGGATGACCATCACCAGTGGACTGGATAAAAGTAATGTGGTACATACACACAATAGAATACTATGCAGCCATAAAAAATGAAATCATGTTCTTTAAAGAAACATGGATGCAGCTACAGTCCATTATTCTAAGTGAATTTATTCAGGAACAGAAATCCAAATACTGCATATTCTAACTTGTAAGTGGTAGCTAAACATTGAGCACACATGGATATAAAGATGCAAGACTTGTGGGGATGCAGGTTACAAAACTACATATTGGGTACTATGCTCACTACCTGGGTGACTGAACCATTCGTACAAACCTTAGTGACACACCATCGACCCATGTAACAAATTGGCACATGTACCCCTGAACCTAAAGTAAAAACTGAAAAACTGTATGTGTAGATGTATGTGTGTATATATATTATACATATATATTATACATATACATTACACATATATATTATACATATACATTACACACACACACACACACACACACACACATATATATATATATATATATATATATATATATATATATAAAAGAATGACTCCAAATTAAGTTTCTAATTGACTGTTGAGGGGAAGGCTGGGGTTCCATGGCATCAAAGCAATACCAGGGAAAAAAATACAGGGGGTGCAAGGCAATTGCAGAATTAGCTTTAGTCTTTTTTTAAGTCTATGATTGGTTGGATTTGTTTTAATACATGGTGATACCATTGTTATACATTGTATCATATTCTTCTACCAAATGTACATCTGGCTGAAGTTGAGAAAAATTTTGCGATTCTGTTTTACAAAACCCAAAATAAAACGTTTTATTTAATGGTAATTACAAATTGAGGTAAATATTTAAGAAGCACCCAAGTCATTCTGACAATTACTTTGCTCATAAACACCAAAATGGTTCTTGAAATTCTTCCTCTGGATAAGGAGAAGAAAAAGAGCAGATAAATAGAACTAGGCATCACCTTTCTCTCACATCCATTCAGCTCTGGTTTAATTATATTCTGACTCTTGCACTGGGATTAAGGACCTGGGCTATTTTCTATGCAGAGAGAAATGGAGGCAGCTTCAGAAGACAGCAAGAATGAGGGACATTCTTAGACACAGAGAGTCTTTGCCATTTTTATGGACAGAGGAAAAGGAAGCAGTGGAGTATGAAATTAAACAAAGTTCTAAAGAGATGAGATTAAATATCCTGACTAAGGCTTTAGATTTTAAAATTGTATAGGATAATTCCTTCTTAGAGAAAGACAGGGTGAAAGAAAATGAAGATGGGTGTTTATATCAGTCTTTATGTTATGTTTTGCTGTTCATCAGTCAAGAACTAATGTGCCTGTAGGAAATCTGGATGCTTAGAGAAAGTTTTCTCGATTTAAAGTGGTGAGAGAAAGTTTGGGGTATTCAATTTCGATGTGCCCTCCACTTTTAATACAGTTAAGCAATTCAGAATGTATTAAAATTACTGAAGCATTGGCTATACATACATTTATTTTATAAAGCAAAATGAATTCTGAGCAACTTAAATACTTATCTGAGAATACAGAACTGGATGAATTCTGACTCTTTTCCTTGCAATCATAGATCATAGTAGAAAAGAGAAAGGTAGACCCAGACCAATATACAGCTCTAAGAGTATACAACCTGTGACTACCTCCATGGGGAAAACGGCATTAATACAGTAACTTTCACAAGAATTTCCCACTGATAAAAAAAACAAAGAACAAAAAAAACAGTACAGAAATGTTTTAAATCCTCCACCCATTGAAATTGCCACTTGATAACTTTTTGCTATTTTTACAAACATCATTCCTAACCACAATCTTATCTAGGGCATGATGTCCAATCATACATATTTTAAAAGCTGCAGTTTTTATTTACCTTTTAGGTTTTTTCCTTCTGACACATTCACCCCACCATCATGATGAACGATTACGTGTTCTGATTCTTGATAGTGGCTACCAATGCTTCTCATTATGTGTCACTTACTATGAAGGCCACAAAATCTGCCACCTAGCAGTCTTTTCCATTTGAGTGACAACATGTGTTTCAATGAAGAAACTCCTTTAGCTGACTCCTGCCCTGAAGTCACTGTCAGTTCCATGAAAATTGTGCCTCCAGAGAAAGAGTGAACATAGTAACTTTGTCATATATGCTTCCAAAAAACTCAGCTTTTTCTTGGCTATTATATTTTTCTAGGCTTGCACAAATTGTGTTACTTTAAAAAGCAACAAAATTATTGTATCTAGCTCCTCTCTCAGTATTGATAGTATATGTCTGTGGTGAATCTATTCCAAATTTTTGTTTATTAATATATTTTTTTTTAAATGTTCAATTCTTAGTGTGTGTTTTAACATTTTAAACTTCTCCCTTAGTTGATCTCTTGTCTTATCATCCTACATAGTATCAATATTCTTTTATTCAATTGTAATTTATTTATTGTGCTTAGCCTTTGTTCTATATCCCACATATTTATTATTTATATTTTTAACAACAAATGTTCCTCTATTTAATTTTGTTAAGTCATCCACAATGAGATGAATCTGTATGGACTGGGACCAGGATTGTGTTCACTTTCATTACTCTAGCAGCTACTTTCTACTAGGAAAGTATCTAACTAGTGCCTAAAATTGAAACTTCCATTTCCTGCCAAGCTCTCCTTTGCCATGGTTCATTTTTCCTGAGCCATCCCTTAGATATCAAACTCAATTTTTTTTTTCAACACATGGTTCACAGATAACATTTTTATGCTCATTTTTGATTTGTATTTTTGCCTAAAATTATATATTTTATTTTTTAATTTTTTAAAATTTTTGTGTGTACATAGTAGATGTATATATTTATGGGGTATACAAGAAGTTTTGATACAGGTATGCAATGTGAAATAAGCACATCATGCAGAATGCTAGCCATTCACCCAAACATTTATCCTTTGGGTTACAAATAATCCAATTACATCCTTTAAGTCATTTTAAAATATAGGATTAATATATTATTGACTACAGTCACCCTACTGTGCTATCAAAGAGTAGGACTTATTCATTCTAAGTTTTTGTATCCATTATCCACTCCACCTCCCCCTGCCACCCACTACCCTTTGCAGCCCATAGTAACCATATTTTTACTCTCTATTACCAATGAGTTCGATTGTGTTGATCTTGAGATCTCACAAATAAGTCAGAATATGTGATGATTGTCTTTCTGTTCCTGACTTATTCACTTAGCATAATGACCTCTAGTTCCATCCATGTTGATGCAAATCACTAGATCTCATTCTTTTTCATGGCTGAATAGTATTCCATTGTGTGTATGTACCACATTTTCTTTATTCATTAATGTGGTTTGGCTCTGTGTCACCACCCAAAACTCATCTCAAATTGTAATCCCCATGGGTTGGGCAGGGGCTGATGGGAGGTGATTGAATCATGGGTGTAGTTTCCCCCATGCTGTTCTCATGACAGTGAGGGAGTTGTCATGAGAGCTGATGGTTTTAAGTGTTCGGCAGTTCTCTTTCATTCACTCTTCTCTTTACTCCCACTGCCATGTAAGATGTGCCTTGCTTCCCCTTCTCCTTCCACCATGATTGTAAGTCTTCTGAGGCTTCCAAGCCATGCAGAACTGTGAGTCAATTAAATCTCTTTCCTTTATAAATTACTCATTCTCAGGCATTTCCTTATAGCAGTGTGAAAACAGCCTAATACAGATAATTGGTACCAAGGTAGTAGGTCATTGCTATAAAGATAAACTGAAAATATGGAAACTACATTGGAACTGGGTAACAGGCAGAGGTTGGAACAGTATGGAGGGCTCAGAAAAAGAAAGATGTGAGAAAGTTTGGAACTTCCTAGAAACTTGTTGAATGTTTTTGACCAAAATACTCATAGTGATATAAACAATGAAGTCTCAAATGGAGATGAGCAACTTATTGGGATCTGGAGTAAAGGTGATTCTCCCTATGCTTTATGGTTTAGCAAAAAGAATAGTGGTATTTTGCCCCTGCCCTAGATATCTGTGGAACTTTGAACTTGAGAGAGATGATTTATGGTATCTGGCAAAAAAAAAAAAAAAAAAAAATCTAAGCAGCAAAGCATTGAAAGAGTGACTCGAGTGCTCTTAAAAGCATTCAGTTTTATTCATTCACAAAGATATGGTTTGGAATTAGAACTTATGTATAAAAGGTAAATAGAGCATAAAAGTTCAGAAAATTTGCAGCCTGACGATGCGATAGAAAAGCAAAACCCATTTTCTGAGGAGAAATTCAAGCTGGCTGCAGAAATGGGCATAAGTAACGCGGAGACAAATGTTAATCACCAAGATAATGTGAAAAATGTCTCCAGGGCATGTCAGGGATCTTTGCAGAATCACCCACCAGTCAGGAGGCCTAGGAGGGAAAAATGGCTTCCTGGACTGGGCCCAGGGCCCGGCTGCTCTGTGCAGCTTTGCAACTTGCTGCCCTGTGTCCTAGCCCTTCTAGCTTTAGTCATGGCTAAAAGGGAACCAGCTACAGCTCAGGCCATTGCTTTAGAGCATGCAAGCCCCAAATTTTGGCAGCTTCCACATGGTTTTGGGCCTGCAGGTGCACACATGAGAGTTGAGTTTTGGGAACCTCTACCTAGATTTCAGAGGATGTATGAAAACACCTGAATTTCCAGGCAGAAGCCTGCTGAAGAGTTGGAGCCCTCATGGAGAACCTCTAATAGAGCAATGCAGAGGGGAAATGTGCAGTTGGAGCCCTCATGCAGAGTGCCTACTGGGGCACTACCTAGAGGAGCTGTAAGAAGGCCACCGTCCTCCAAACTCCAGAAAGGTACATCTACCAACAGCTTGTGCCATGAACCTGAAAAGCTGCAGGCACTCAATGTCAGCCTGTGAAGGCAGCTGCAGGGGCTGTATCTTGCAGGGCCATAGGATTGGAACTCCCCAAGGTTGTGGGGCCTACCCATTGTATCATAATGCCCTGTATGTGAAACATGGAGTCAAAGGAGATTATTTCAGAGTTTTAAGATTTAATAACTGCCCTGCTGGGTTTTGGACTTTCATGCAGCCTTTGGCCCCTTTGTTTTGGCTGTTTTCTCTTATTTGGAATGGGAACATTTAGCCAATGCCTGTACCTCCACTGCATCTTGGAAGTAACTGACTTGCTTTTGATTTTAAAGGCTCATAGGCAAAAGGGACTTGCCTTGTCTCAGATGAGACTTTGGACTTGGACTTTGAAGTAATGCTGGAATGAGTTAAGACTTTGGAGGATTATTGGGAAGGCATAACTGGTTTTGAAAATGTGAAGAGAATGAGATTTGGGAGTGACCAGGGACAGAATAATATGGTTTGGCTCTGTGTCCCCACCCTGATCTCATCTCAAGTTGTAATCCCCATGTGTCAAGGTAGGGACTGAGTGGGAGGTGATTGAATCATGGGGGCAGTTTTCCCCATGCTCTTCTCATTATAGTGATAGAGGTCTCAGAAAAGCTGATGACTTTAAAAGTGTTTGGCAGTTCTTACTTCATTCACTCTTCTCTTCTCTCCTCCTGGCATGTAAGATGTGGCTTGCTTGCCATTCTATCATGACTGTAAGTTTTCTGAGGCCTCTCCAGCCATGCAGAACTGTGCATCAGTTAAACCACTTTTCTTTATGAATTACTTAATCTCAGGCATTTCTTTATAGCCATGTGAAAACAGCCTAATACATCCATTCATTTGTTGATGGACATTTAGGTTGCTTTCAAATCTTGGCTATTGTGAATAGTGCAGCAACAAACATAACAGTGCGGATATCTCTTCAATATACTGGTTTTCTTTCTTTTGTGTCTGTACCTAGCAGTAGCATTGCTTGATCACATAGTACCTCAATTTAGTTTTTCAATAAACTTACAAATTGTTCTCCATCGTTGTACTAATTTAAATTCCCACCAACAATGTACAAGGGTTCTCTTTCCTCCACATCCTAGCCAGCATTTGTTATTGCCTGTCCTTTGGAATATAAGCCATTTTAATGACAATGTAATAATATCTCATTGTAGTTTTGAGTTACATTTCTCTGACGATCAGTGATATTGAGCTGATTTTCATATGCCTGTTTGCCATTTGTATGTCTTCTTTTGAGGAATGTCTGTTCTAATTTTTTGCCCATCATTTTATTAGATTATTAGATTTTTTTTTCTGTGGAGTTGTTTGAGTTCATTATATATTCTGTTATTAATGCCTTGTTCGATGGGTAGTTTCCAACTATTTTCTGTCATTCTATTGGCTGGCTCTTCACTTTGTTGGTTATTTTCTTTGCTATGCAGAGGCCTTTTTTAACTTGATGTGATTCCATTTGTCAATGTTTGCTTTGGTTGCTTGTGCAAATCTTTGCCCAAATTGATGTCCTGAAGAGTTTTCCCAATGTTTTCTTTTAGTAGTTACATAGTTTGATGTCTTTGGTTTTGGCTTTTAATCCATTTTTATTTGATTTTTGTATATAGCAAGAAATAGGGATCTAGTTTCATTCTTCAGCACATAGATATCCAGTTTTCCCAGCACCATTTATTGTAGTGACTGTCTTTTCCCCAGAGTATGGTTTTGGCACCTTTGTCAAAAATGGGTTGCCTATAAGTGTATGAATTTGTTTCCAGGTTCTCTATTTTTTTCAATTGGTTTATGTGCCTGGTTTTATGCCAGTACCATACTGTTTTGATTACTATAGTGCTCTAGTATAATTTGCAGCCAGGTAATATGATTCCCCCAGTTTTGTTATTTTTGCTTAAAATAGCTTTGGATATTCTGGGCCTTTCGTGCTTTCTTATAAATTTTAGGATTTTTTTTTCTATTTCTATGAGGAATGGCATTGGTATTTTGATTGGAATTGTACTGAATCTGTATATTGCTTTAGGTAGTATAGACATTTTACCAATATTGATTTTTCCAATCCATGAATATAAAATATATTTTCATTTTTTGTGTTCTTTTTAATGTCCTTCACCAGTGTTTTTTGTTTGTTTGTTTGTTTGCTTTTTTTCTATAGAAGTCTTTCACTTCTTCAGTTAAGTTAATTCCTAGGTATTTAATTTTATGTGTGGCTGTTGTAAATGTGATTACTTTTTAATTTCTTTTTCACATTGTTCACTTTTGGCGTATAGAATTGCTACTAATTTTGGTATGTTGATTTTTGTATCCTGCAACTCTACTTAATTTTTTTTATCAGTTCTTTTGTGGATTCTTTAGGTTTTTCTAATACAAGATCATATTATCTGCAAACAAGGAAAATTTTATTTCTTTCTTTCCAAATTTCCAAATGATTTAGTTTCAGTTTTGGTTTTTTAATGATATTTGGCATTAGTGTCCCAGTTTCTAGGAAGAGTTACTCAATTATTTGCATAAAGGTCTATATAGAGCTTTAATTGTACACTCCTTAATATTTTTGAATGCCCTATTGCTTTCATTTTAAGAGTCATCTGATGTACTTCTTTCAAGGTTCTCTTTCTTAAATAAATTATTTTGGGTCTGTACAGTTCTCACTAATCTGTATATGAATAAAATAATTTCATCTTTATTTTCTCACCTCTATGAACATTAAATTCTTCTTATTGTCTGATACTGGCCTAGACAATAGTTTTCCAAAATTCTTGAATGAAGAAAAAATTATCTGAGTTATTTATAAAAATATAACTTTTCTGCACCATCCTCTGAGCTCTTAAATTCAGTGGATATGGGATATGACTTGAGCATTTGCATTTTTCTTAAATATTACATGCAGATATGTACCATCAGAGAACTATTGGGAGAAGATAGCTACCAGCCACCTAACATTAAGGCTTTTATCATAAGAAAATTCTCCCTCTTAATTCTCTTTCTCTCTGATTATCCCATATTTTTAGAGTAAAAAAACCAATCAAGGTATGGTTTCCATTCATCAGAATATAGTAAAGATGTTTTATTTATTTTGTAACGGCTTTACACTACTTTTTAGTTAACATGATTATCATGACTAAGAGCAAACACCCTTAGTGGATTCTTCAACTTCTATTCATAGTAAACCCATTTAACTTCCTTTCCACATAAATAATTTAGTTATTAACAAGCACCTAAATTATCTCACTCTGGAAAAAAAAATTCCATATTCTCTCCCTATAATTCCTGTTAAATATTTAATTTTCAGATATCTCAGTCTCTCTCTCTCTCTCTCTCTCACTACTATCTCTCTCCATATTTAAATTGTGTGTGTGTGTGTGTGTGTGTGTGTGTGTGTGTGTGACAGTCTGTCTGTGTGTGAGGACAATTTGAATTAAGGAGGTAACCCTTATTTCTCCCCACCATAAGTTGGTGACCAATTTGAAAAATTAGACACTATGTTCATACAGAATTGGCTAAAATTTTTCAGTTTTCAGACTCTATCAACTCTCATTAAGATATAGAAAGATGGAAATAACAATAATCTTTACCTAATAACAAAAATATTCTGATTAATAGGCAAAATTACAATTTTTCTTGAGCCCATTACACAACTGAGATCAGAGGATAATCAACTAACCTGAAATCCAAGAATGGTATGTACCTCTAAGGAAAAATAAGATAAGAGCTCCTGTTTACCTGGGGTAGATGCCAAGTGTCACTGAAAATAATTCAGTTAAAATGTTTAACAAATTGATACAGGCAGAGTTTGGGGTGGCATGAGACTTTACAACTCTTCAGAAACACAGATGCAGTGCAATTACCAACAAGTGGCTCTTCTCCATTCATCTCATTATTCACCCATAATAGTAAAGATTAGAGACATGATGAAATTTCATGAGATTTCATAGAAAAGCATCCCCTACAGACCCTGTGGTACAGGATGAGGAAGATAGACCATAGTCAATGAAAGAAAAGGAAAATACTCCACTCTGATCTATTTTCTCTATCGAACAAAAGCCTCATCCACTGCAAGAAGTTCCTATCTTCTTAAAGAAGGTGTCTTAGGGAACAGATACCACTGGAGAAATGAAACAAAAAGGAAGCAAAACAAAACAAAGACAAGCCTTTGTCTTTGGAATACATCAGGGATAGGTACAGAATGGGGAAAGTATAGAATCATAAAATAAGCCCCCTCCTGAAACCCAGGAATGCACGTGCTTAAAACAAAGGCTCAGAGTAACAGAGAATGTCTACATCCACTGCCAAAAGGTAACAAGTATCTAGGAAAAAAAGTGACAGCATTCTGCTATTGGGGGAACGTGTGGAGAGCATGAAGTAAGACCTTCTTTGAGATATAGCTACAAAGAGAAAACTTAAAGCTGAGTTTTGTGCAGACATTGAGCAAGACTCTTTGGAAAATCTATTCCCAACACAAACAAAAGTTAGCATTGATGGAATCTGAAACCTATGGGGCATACATTAGCAATAGTAAAATCCAAACTCAATTCCCGACAAGACCGACTCAAGCCCCCACAGTAAAGGTCTATTCAAAGATAAAGCATGCTAGTTTCCAGGCATAAATACAAATTACCTTCATCTGTTTTTTACTGTCCTTTGCAATATGTTTAACTTTTCACAGAAACATATGAGGCAAACAAAGTGTTAAGAAAACAAGAGCTGTGAAAAGAAATATCAATAAATAGGAGTAGATCTAGATAAAGTGCAGATGTTAGAAGTATCCATTAAGAGATTTAAAATAACTATTTATTAAAGCCTTCAATGAAAAATGTGGAAAATATGCATGATGAGATAGATAATTTCAGCACAGAGATAAAAACAATTAGAAAAATAAAAAGAAAATAGAAATGCAAAACATAGTAACAGAATGATAAAAAAAACTCTCAGTAGACTTGACACATTTGTGGAAATAATGAGTAAACTTGAGGACAGATAGGTAAAACTTGGACAACTGAAGAATAAAGAAAAATATAGAGAATCCAGAACACAGAATCCAAGAGATTTTTAATGATATGTCATTATCTATTTGTTTCATTTAATATACATGTAGTTGCAATCTAAAACAGAAAAATAGAGAAAATGTTTTGAAAATATGATTGCAAAAAATTTTCTAAAATTAATTAAATATAACAAGAGCCAATATCTAAGAAGGCACCCAAAATCTCAAGAAACATGATCAGCATAAACAAAAGAGTGACAACAAAATAACATGAAAGCTGTTGAAAAACAAAGACAAATGGAAATATTAAAGGCATCCAAAGAACAAATAATGTATTACATAAAAGGGTCAAGAATAAGAAATAAAGTTCATTTCTCAACAAAAACAATAGAAGTCTGAAGACAATGTGACATTGTCAAGGGGCTGAAATAAAAATCTGTCAATTTAAATTCTATACTCAGTGATAGTCTCTTTCAAAAGTGGAGAAATGTGTTTTCAGACAATTTCAAAAGATTAAATAATGCTAAAATGTAAATTCTTCCTATGTTGACCAGTTGATTAACTACAATCCCAATTAAAAGCCTAAGTAGATGTTTTGAAAAAATTGCAAAACTGATTATTAAATTTGTTTAAACAGAAGAATTGGAATAGCCAAATTACTGGCTATTTAAAAAATACAACTGAAAAACAAAAATACTCAAATAACTCAAACTGCCTTGTTTCAAAATTTTCTTTAAACCTGCAATAAACCATGCAGTATAGTGTTGGAGGAAAAAAAGACATATCAGTCAATGAAACAATAAAGTGGACATTACAAATGCCCTAGTATATTTTGTGGCCTCATCTGTCTTGGCCTGTTTTTGTACTAATTGTGAGATAGAAAAAAAAAAAAAAAAAAAATATATATATATATATATATATATATATATATATTACATTTTAAGAAGAAACAACATCCTGACATAGATCTACCTATATGTGGTTAATTAATTTTGGACAAGGTGCATCATCAATTCAAAAATGCTTTTAGAACAAATAATAATTTATGGGACAATTATTTACCCATGTGCAAAAAAATTTAAAAGGAAAAACCACAATCTGTATTTCTCCTCCTAGAAAATAATTAACTCAAAATTGATTAGCGACACATATGTAAAACTACACAACTTCTAGGAGAAAATATAGGAAGAAATATTTTTGCTCTTGTTTTTAGAAAAATTTATTTGTTTTGATATTAAAGACGTGATACATTAAAAATTCTTTGGAGTTTATCAAAATTAAGAATTTCTGGTTCTACAGAACATGAAGTTAAGAGAGTGAAAAGGTACAAACTAAGAGAAAATATTTGCCAATTATATACCTAATAAATGACTTGATCCTAAAGTATATTAAAACTCTCAAAACACAATAATAACAATGCAAAGAAAATGGGCAAAGAATTTAAGAGATATATTACCAAATAAAGATATAAAAATGCTTAATATATTTAATCATTAGGCAAACACAAATTAAATCACAAATAGATACCACTACATGCCTATTAAAAGGCAATAAAAACAAAAAATAAAAATAAATCTGAAATACAAGCTTCTGTCAAGAATAACCTGAATGTATTATTAAATCAAAGCATGTATTAAATCAAAGATTCTCAAGCCACCACTCTGAGATTCTGACATAGAAGACACAACTTGCAGCCCAAGATTTATGCATTTCTAACAGCACACATAAGAGAATGATTCTTACTGATCTGGGAAAATATCTGGAGTAGCATTATACCACAGGGTTTTGAGGCTAGCCTTGAGTAATTGTATTGCTTATGACAATAATGTGAAAATGTTATCAAGTAAAGGATTTTAGGCAGTAACAGAAAAACCATCTATACAACTAAACTTAATATCTATAATAAGGAGACAGTTTTTAGTACATTTCTTGCAGTTCTTCTTGTTTAGCTTTGAAATATACATATTTCTGTACATTTTTTATATTTTTCTGGACTAGTTGGAAATAACATAAACACATTTTATATGTACTCTAAGCAAAAATTTGCAGCAAAGGAATTTATATCACTTTCAGAATCAAAGGAAGATTTCCAAAGATCTAATCAGTTTGAATCTAGAGCTTGGCAAACCTAAATCTTACATTTGTTTCTGTTTGGCTTTCATGCATATTTTCCTGTGAATTTACATTTTAGTGAATGCTGTGATGTAATGCCAGCAATTTCTCCTTCTGGAATACAGAAAGTGTTCTATCAGCTGTTGAGAGTCTAACTAACGAATAGTCGTCAGCCATCTTTGAGAATTGCCTCAACTGGCAAGAATCACTCACCCAATATGATGCATTCTTTCTGGAAAAGGCTACATTTAATAACTGGATGACGAGGGTTAGAGAGCCCTGCCCAGTTTATCTCACCTTTGGACAATGCTGTAAGGCCGTTGCTTCAGTTACCACTGTGAGTTTGACTGAGGTCCCCATTGAGATGGCATCATAGCCCAGTCTTTACTTCTGCTCAATCCTACATGTTATCCCTACTATACTTTTCATGTTAGACTAAAAATGTGCCCCCTAACCAATATATATTCACTTCCTAATTAATTAAACCTATAAATATTATCTTATATAGCAAATCATGTATTAATATATTACCTTACATGCCAAAATAAATAATTAAGGTAAATATCTTGAAAAGAATAATTTATCCTGGAATATTGTGGTGGGTCTAAATGCACTCGAGTGTATTCTTACTAAGGGTGAGGTAGAGTTAATTTTGACACAGACAACCACAGAGAAAAGGTGATGTGCAGATAGGACAGAGAGATGCAGCCACAAGTCAAGGAATTTCAACAATCACCATAAGCAAGAGGCAATACATGAATTTTCTTCTAGTCCTGCATCTAGAGGGAGCCTAGCCCCACTTGCACCTTAATTTTAGACCTGTGGCCTTCAAAACTATGAGAATAAATTTCTGTTGTTTTAAGCACCCAGTTCTTGGTCATTTGTTATAATAGAAAATGAAGGAAGGAAGGAAGGAAGGAAGGAAGGAAGGAAGGAAGGAAGGAAGGGAGGGAGGGAGGGAGGGAGGGAGGGAGGGAGGGAGGGAAGGAGGGAGGGAGGGAGGGGGGAGGGGGGAGGCAGGGAGGGAGGAAAAAAGGCCTAGTGTACATCCTTATGTAAACTCCAGTTTATAATCATCTTGTAGCAAATCTAACCTGGAACAAACATATTCATCACAAATTCTGGGGCTACAACTCACATCTTCACAACCAGAGATGAAAGAATCTTTCTTTCCCACTCGACTAATTTCTAGGAAAGGGTTTTTGTTTTCTGTTTTCTCCTCTTCTAGAAAATTAGTCCCAGTCCTGGACCACTTGATATAGTGATAGGAATAAGGTAGATTGTGTAATGTGCTCATTGCTTACACCAATGGAGGAGGCCCCATATCAGCAGATTTCCTGAAACCATATTGTTGACCAGAATACAAATTATCTAAGTATTCACTTTAGAAAGGGAGATAAATAAACGCTGGGAAGGCGAAAAAAAAAATGTACTTTGGCATATGCATATTTTTTCCCACAACAAATTCCTATATCAGATTATCAGCCTTAAATTCATGGACATGTCTTAATGGTAATGTTTTAATATGATGGCCTTTACTTAATACTAGAAAAATCTCAATATAATTTTGCTTGATTTTATTAATATATATTTTAGTTAAAACAACATAACAAGAGGATGATGGTTACTCTTTATGACTCCATTACGTTCCCCCAAAATTTATATGTTGACATCCTAACCCCCAGTACCTCAGATTGTGACTATATTTGGAGATGAGTCTTTAAAGAAGTAGTTGAATTAAAATGAAGTCTTTAAAGGTGGGCTTTAATCCAATACGACTGCTGTCCTTATAAGAGGAGATTAGGATACACATACATCAGAATAAGATCATGTGAAGACAAAATAATACAGCTATTTACAAGCCAAGGAGGGAGGCTTTGGAATGAAACTAATCCTGATGAAACTGTGATCTTAGACTTAAAACATTCAGAAATGTGAGCAAATACGTTTCTGTTGTTTAACCCACCCAGGCTGTTAAATTTGTTATGTCAGTCCTAGAAAACTAATTCATTACTGGAAGATATTTGTAATGTATCAAATTTAAATGTAAACAATATTTGGCAAATAAGTAAAAGTAACTGTTGGGCAATATCCAGTGTGCTTTCATGTATGAAATCTCATGAGTAATATCACTAAGATATATATAATTATTTATATGTATATTTATAAATGCTTCCCTAGTTTTGCTAAGGTAAAGAAAATGATGTTTATAACAAGAAAATATGAGAGAAATCAATCATATTAATTCAAATTTACACAAATTAATGATCAATTTAAATGTGTGAATATAGCCATTTTATAAACCACTCAGCTAGAAAACTCCTACTCATCTTCTGTACAATCAAATATTACATTAGTGTTGAATTATAGCAGTTAATCAAAATCATTAGCATTTATCATTATATTTCTCATAATGTAAATAGGTAACAGAAACTAATATTTTTCTAAAATTTTGTTATTTTATGCATTAAGGAATAATATTTAATGGTGACTATTTTAGTTTAGTATACTAATACATTTGAATTATATATAATATTCTAGAAAAGAAATGTATTATAATATTCTAGGAAAACTGTACTAAATATGTTACATTGCAATAATATTATAATCAATGATTGGCTATTAACAAAACAAAACCAAAAGTATGTGGAAGTATCTCACTGTCTATTGGCTAACAGTATGAGAATAATTGTTTGACGTTGAAAAGATGGTGATCCGTTATACATGAGAAGCAATTTTTTGGGGGAAACTATTGTTTCTTGTTACATGTTAAGTAGACCATATACCATATTCTTTAGTATATGGTATATTAAAGAATTAGTATATAAGAATTAGTATAAAGAATTAGTATAATTCTTAGTATTATTAGTATTATACTATAAATTAGTATAATTTATAGTATAAAGAATTAGTATTAATATAAAGAATTAGTAAAAAGAATTAGTATAATAAGAATTAGTATAGTCTTCAGCCAATTGCATTTTTTAGTCCAGAATTTCTGCTTTACTCTTTAAAATTATTTATATCTCTTTGTTAAACTCATCTAATATAATTCTGAACTCCTTCCCTGTGTCATCTTGAATTTCACTGAATTTCCTTCAAAAAGGTATTTTGAACTCTCTCTCTCTCCAGGATTGAACACCGGTGCCTTATTTAGTTCTTTAATGAGGTCATGCTTTCCTGGATGGTCTTGATGCTCGTTGATGTTCATTGGCATCTGGACATTGAAGAATTAGGTATTTATTGTAGTCTTCATAGTCCAGACTTGTTTATAGTTATCCCACTTGGGGAGGATTTCCAGGTATTCAAAGGTACTTGGGTATTGTTATCTAACCTTTTGGTCACTGCAGTCATATTTGCATTAGGGGCAACTGCAAGTCCAGTCATGCTGTGGCTCTTGCAGACTTGTAGCTGTACCACCTTGGTGGTCTTGGGTAATATCTGGAAGAATTCTCTGAATGACCAGGCAGAGACTCTTGTTCTCTTCCCTTACATTCTCCCAAACAGAGCCTCTCTGCTGAGCTGCCTGGAGCTGGTGGCAGAATGACACAAGCACCCCTGTGACAACCACCACTGGGACTGTACTGGGTTAAATCTGAAGCCAGCACAGAATTGGGTCTCAAGGCCCACAGTAACCACTGCCTCGTTACCATCTATGTTTACTCGGAGACCTAGGGCTCTACAGTCAACAATTGGCAAAGCCAGTAAGCTTGTGTCCTTCTCTTCAGGGCAGTGAGCTCTCCCTGGTTGCAGCTGGGTCCAGAGTTGCCATCCAGAAGCCAGAGCTTGGAGTTGGAAATTTTAGGAATCTACCTGGTGATCTTTTCTACTGCAGCTGAGCTGACACCCAAGTCACATGACAAAGTCCTTTCCACTCTGTCCCCTGTTGTCCACAGGCAAAGGAGTCTCTTCTGGTAGCCACCACCACCCCAAGCCCATGATGAGTACTGCCTGACTACTGTCTATGTTCATTCAAGGCACCTAGGGCTCTTCAGTCAGCTTGTGATGAATGCTTCGTGGCCTGGACTTTCTCTTCAGGGCAGTGGATTCCATTCTGGAACAGGCAAAGTCCAGAAATGCCATCCAAGAGCCAAGTTACGTTAGTCCATTTTCATGCTGCTGATAAAGACATACCAGAGACTGGGGGAGAAAAGACGTTTAATTGGACTTACAGTTTCACATGGCTGAAGAAGACTCAGAAACATGGTGGGAAGTGAAAGGCACTTATTACATGATGGAAGCAAGAGAAAAATGAGAGAGAAGCCAAAGCAAAAACCCCTGATAAACCCATCATATCTTGTCAGACTTATTCACTATCACAAGAATAGCATGGGAAAGACTGGCCCCCATAATTCAATTACCTCCCCCTGGTACCTCCACACAAGTGGGAATTCTGGGAGATAAAATTCAAGTTAAGATTTTGGTGGGGACAGAGGCAAACCATATCATTCCACCCCTGGCTTCTCCAAATCTCATGTCCTCACGTTTCAAAAGCAATCATGCTTTCCCAACAGTTCCCCAAAGTCTTAACTCATTTTGGCACTGACCAAAAAGTCCACAGTCCAAAGTCTCATTTGAGACAAGGCAAGTCCCTTTTGCCTATAATCCTCTAAAATCAAAAGCAAGCTAGTTACTTCTTAGATACAATGCAGGTGCAGGCATTGGGTAAATACAGCCATTTCAAATAGGATAAATTGGCCAAAACAAAGGGGTTACCAGGCCCATGCAAGTCTGAAATCAAGCGGGGCAGTCAAATTTTAAAACTCCAAAATGATATCCTTTGACTCCAGGTCTCATATCCATGTCACGCTTATGCAAGAGGTGGGTTTGCATGGTCTTGGGCAGCTCTGTCCCTGTGGCTTTGCAGAGTACAGCCTCTCTCCTGGCTGCTTTCATGGGCTAGTGTTGATTTTCTAGCCCATGTGGATCTACCATTCTGGGGTCTGGAGGACAGTGGCTCTCTTCTCACATCTCCATTATGCAGTGTCCCAGTAGGGACACTGTAAGCGGGCTCTGACCCCACATTTACCGTCTGCACTGCCCTAGCAGAGGTTCTCCATGAGGGTCCCACCCCTGCAGCAAACTTTTGCCTGGGTATCCAGGCATTTCCATACATCTTCTGAAATCTAGGCAGAGGTTCCCAACCCTCATATCTTGACTTCTGTGTACCCACAGGCTCAACACCACATGGAAGCTTCCAAGGTTTGGGGCTTGCACCCTCTGAAACCATGGATGAAACACCTTGGCCCCTTTAAGCCATGGCTGGAGCAACTGGGACAGAGGGCACCAAGTCCCTAGGCTGTATACAGCATGAGGACCTTGGGCCCAGCCCATGAAACCACTTTTTCCTCCTGGGCCTCCAGGCCTGTAATGGAGGGGCTGCCATGAAGGTCTCTGACATGGCCTGGAGACATTTTCCCCATGGTCTTGGGGATTAACATTATGCTCTTTGCTTTTATGCAAATTTTGGCAGCTGGCTTGAATTTCTCCTCAAAAAAATGGATTTTTCTTTTCCACTGCATCATCAGGCTATAAATTATCTGAACTTTTATGCTCTGTTTCCCTCTTAAAATGGAATGATTTTTATAGCACCCAAGTCACCTTTTGAAAGCTTTGCTGCTTAGAAATTTCTTCTGCCATAT
This sequence comes from Homo sapiens, assembly GCF_000001405.40. Lineage (NCBI taxonomy): Eukaryota > Metazoa > Chordata > Mammalia > Primates > Hominidae > Homo > Homo sapiens. The sequence goes on along the minus strand of NC_000003.12, from coordinate 163,571,914 downwards.
ACCCTAAATCAACTCTCTCTAGTTCAAAGTTCCACAAATCTCTAGGGCAGGAGCAAAATGCTCCCAGTCTCTTTGCTAAAACATGACAAGAGTCATCTTTGTTCCATCTCCCAACAAGTTCCTCATCTCCATCTGAGACCACCTCAGCCTGGACCTTATTGTTCATACGGCTGTCAGCATTTTTGTCAAAGCCATTCAAAAAGTCTCTAGGAGGTTCCAAACATTCCCACATTTTCCTGTCTTCTGAGCCCTCCAAACTGTTCCAACCTCTGTCTGTTACCCAGTTCCAAAGTTGCTTCCATATTTTTGCGTATTTTTTCAGCAATGCCCGACTCTAGTGGTACCAATTTACTCTACTAGTCCATTTTCATGCTGCTCATAAAGACATACCAGAGACTGTGAAGAAAAAGAGGTTTAATTGGACTTACAGTTCTGCATGGCTGGGGAAGCCTCAGAATCATGGCAGGAGGTGAAAGGCACTTCTTACATGGTGGCAGCAAGAAAAAAAATGAAAGAGAAGTCAAAGCAGAAACCCCTGATAAACCCATCAGATCTCTTGAGACTTGTTCACTATTTCGAGAATAGCATGGGAAAGACCAGCCCTCATGATTCAACTACCTCCCCCTTGGGTCCCTCCCACAGCACATGGAAATTCTAGGAGATACAATTCAAGTTGAGATTTGGGTGGGGGCACAGCCAAACTATATCACAAGGCCTAGAAGTCGGGACCCCAAGAGCCCACTCGGTGCTCTACCAACTGTAGCTGGGCTGGTACCTGAACTAATACTGGGTTCTTATAAAGGTTATTTTTTCTGTAGAAGGTTGTTCAATTTGGCATTCCTGTGAGTAGGATGATTGGTGGAGGCTTCGCTTCAGCTATCTTGCTCTACTTCCTGGATCTAGACCATATACCATAAAGCATGTAGCTCAAGGGGAAAAACGTTAGAAATTAGGATGATAGCAGAACATAGTTACTGCTGGCTTGATTTAACAAGGTATTGAACAAAATAAATGACTTAAGAAATAATTGATAAATGCTAGTTTCTGGTCAAGGGAGATTATTGCTCTCACAATTAAAAAGAAGATAAAAAGACTTTTAAACCTTATGTATTTGTGTGTGTGTCTTTAACCATTGCTAGTATGAAGTATTTTCTTTTTCTTTAATGATATTTCTAAGTGTTTCATAATTTCAGACATATAGAAAATATTTGAGAATTATATAAAGAATTTATATAATCATCTAGATTCCTAAAATGCTAATAGTTAAAATTTAATTTATTATTCTACATATACATACATACATGTGTGTATATCTATATGTATATGTGTATGTATTACTATATATACCTATGTTTATTTCTACTTATAGATTAAGATAGGGTATTAGTCTGTTCTCACATTGCTATGAAGAAATACCCAAAATTGGGTGATTTATACAGGAAAGAGGTTCAATTGACTCACAGTTCTACGGGGCTGGGGAGGCCTCAGGAAATTTACAATCATAGTGGAAGGGGAAGCAAACACATCCTTCTTCCCATGATAGCAGGAAGGAAAAGAAGGAGAGCCCAGCAAGGGGGATAACCCCTTACAAAACCATCAGATCTTGTGAGAACTAACTCACTATCATGAGAACAGGATGGGGGAACTTGCCCCCATGATTCATTTATCTTCACCTGGTCCCTCCCACAATACATGGGGATTATGGAAACTACAATTCAAGATGAGATTTGGGTGGGGCCACTGCCAAATCACATCAAATTCATAAATTTAGATATATAAATTACATAAAATTATATTGATTACGTATTATTTTCTAAACCATTTGAGAATAAGTTACAGCCCATATGCCTCATCTCTAAGTATTTCAGATTGTTCTGTTTTTAAAAGCTCTTAACTGCAGTGTAATGATTAAAATCAGGAAATTAGTAATGACTAAAAATACTGTAATCAGCATACTTTCTCTAAATATTTTAAACAGTCCCAATAATGTTTACTGAGCAATAAGGAAATCACAGATCATGCCTTGCATTTGGTTGTCATTTTATTACTCTTTAATCTCTCTGAGTACTTCAGCCTTTCCTTTTGTTCTCTAATATTGATATTTTTACAGAGTACTGGTCAATTATTTTGTAAAATATTCCTCAAATCAGATTTTCTAATGTTACCTCAGGATCAGATGCTGGTTTATGTACTTTTGACAAGAATAATACGCAAGTGACATTATGTTCTTCTAAAAGTGCATTATGTCAGGAGACATACGGAATTAGTATGTTCTAGCATGGGTGAGGTTTATTTTGCACACATGGTTAAGGTAGGACCTGAGAAGTTTCTCTAATGCAGAGTTAATATTTCTTTTTATTTCATTTTTATGTTTGAAGAAGATATATAAATAATATAAAAACATACACTAGTATTCAAATTTTCTGATAATTATTTTCTAAATGAATTTTTGTAATAATGTTTCTAAACATGATTTCTTAATCACTACTTTTTAATTTTTAGATTTTTAATTATTATGGATACATAATAGTTGCATGTATTCTTGGGGGACATGTGTTATTTTGATATAAACATACAATGAAAGACGAATATTTCATGTTCTCACTAATATGTTTGAGCAAAAAAAAAAAATTGAACTCATGGAAACAGACAGTAGAATAATGGTTACCAGAGGCTAGGAAGTGTGGTTAATCTTTTTTTTTTTTTTTGAAATGTTTTATTTGTTGCCTTCCTTCTCTAAAAAGAGCTTTGCTTTCTTCTTCTTATTTTTATATCAGTGTGAACTCAGATTTCTTATTTATTTAATAACTGCCATAGGTTGAAGGGAAAACTCTTTGAGCTAGTTTTTGTTTTTGGTTCTTCCCTCTTATTCCACAGCACTTTCTCACATTCCAGAGGACAAGATATTTTGGATTTATCTTGAACTTCTGCTGCCCTAGCCTTGGAATCAGACCTTTTCCCAGAAAGTTCTCATTCCTTTTAGCAAATAATTATACGTATCAACCAGGACTTGGGGATAGTGAGTTCACAGACGCTGGAAGATCACTGTTCTAGGCTAAATATGTGTATATTTGCATGCATACATATATATGTACCTCGATACATCAGTATCTATAGATCTATCTATATTTAGGCTCCATCGTATATTTATGCCTTACACATCTATATCTAAAAAATGTATCAGTATTGGTTTCTATATAAACACATGAGCTCACACTGACACTTTCCATTCCAATTCAACAACAAAGCCTCATTCTTCCTTTGTTCTATATTTATAACTGTTATCTTCATATTGAGAAACCAAGACCCAGTTGTCCATTATGCATTGACCAAACTGTTCAGTCTTTTAATGAAAAAAAGTAGTTTTAGATCTTCTAACTATGCCTCCGTGAAAAATAAACCTATTAACTATAAAGTTCAATATTTTTAGAGTTTCTTTTTCTTGGCCTGAGAATAAATTATCCAAATACTGATAAAAAACTACTGGGGTTAGTTCTCTTTCATGGACGTCATGGTGGTTATGTTACTTATTTTAAATGTTATTTGATTCCTTTCTGCTTATATTCTATTTTTCCATTTTTGACTATTTTCTTTAATTGATTTGTGTGAAAGACTAACAGGTTCTAAAGTCAAGAGTAGAACAGAAAAGTATTTTTCTAAATAATTATTAAGTAGAAATAAAAATTTTATTGCTCTTGAAAAATATTAATAGGAAAATTAATTTGAACGAGTATATTAAGGCAAATAAATAATTTCCTGTTAAATATATTAGCTATTACCTAATATAGCAGTGGTTCTGACATATATATGTTAAAAACTAACCGTATTTTAAATATTCCAAACACTAGTTCCCCATCCCATGATAACTACCTGTAGGATTCCTTACTTTGATAGTTTTAACAATAGAAATATTCTCTTATTTTGTCTGTTCTAAAAATACTATGTTAATTTTTCCTTATACATTCATAATAATTCAGTAATTTCTCATGTTAACCTATCAAGTTTTAAAATTATGAGGCTAAATGATTAAAGGCAAACACAATGGGGGATAATCAAATGAAATTCTACAGCAGAAAAAGTAAAAAAAAATTATTGAAGGGAGACAAATCATAAAGATAAATTTTATAGTCTGAATAATATGAAATTGGCTTCATGGATGGATGATCCTGGTGGTGCTATGCTTCAGAGAGCTTGATTATTTGCCTATTTTGGTTAGAGTAAATGAAGAAAGAGTGTAGAAAATATACTTATTCCATTATTTAAAAAATTGTTTCTGAGTGATGAAGAACCTCTTCAAAACATCAAATTATTACACCTATAAAACTATCTCCTCTTGGCTGGGCACAGTGGCTCATGCCTGTAATCCCAGCACTTTGGGAGGCCAAGGCGGACAGATCACTTGAGGTCGGAAGTTCGAGACCGGCTGCCCAACATGGAGAAACCCCGTTTCTACTAAAAATACAAAATTAGCCAGACGTGGTAGTGCATGCCTGTAATCCCAGCTATTTGGGAGGCTGAGGCAGGAGAATCACATGAACCTGGGAAGCGGAGATTGTGGTCAGCCAAGATCACGCCATTGCACTCCGGACTGGGCAACAAGAGCAAAACTCAGTTATAAAAAAAAAAAAAATTCCCTCTTATATTTTTTGTCTAAGTACATATAGTCGAGTTGTATAATTTTTAAAGTAGAACTAAACATATAAAAAAACCACTGCGATGTCAATATTATATAAACTCTAATATTGTTTTATTAAGTACATATGCTATTGGAGGACAATGATCTAATGTTAACCAAGTACTAACCTAAGTTCAATAAAGAACATAAATGTATACACTTTTCACTTTCTTAAGTAAAACAGGGTAAACATAATTTTTGACAATCAGAAAGCCATTTATCAATTTTGTCTTTTCAATCCATGTAACCTATTTTAAATACTGAATAATATTTACTTTTAAAATTAAAATATGGAGTAATATTCAGAATACTATATAATATAGTATTATATAGTACATATATAATGTGCAGTCTAGTATATATAATATGCTATTATATAATATACATAATATAATTATTATATATTACATACAAGAGGGAAAGAGAAGTTGTTGTTAAGTAACACGTTTGTCCAATAGCTAACAATTTCACTTTCTCAAGACAGAGAGAGAGACAGAGACAGAGAAGATGCAAGCAGCAGGTGAAAACAGATATCTGAACAAGATGATATAGGAAAGCATTTGGCCAAAATGTTAGGTTGGGTTTTTAATAGTAAAAATTGTTCAATCATAAAAATAACTGCATAATTTTTATGCCATATTTACGTAACATTAATTACCAATAAGATGCTATTGATTGTCACTCTTCTTTAAAAAACTGGAATAAAATAGTAGAATAAAACTGATAGCCATATCATTACTCTCTCAATTTCTGAGACAAGGAATTTCTGTCTTTGAAAAGTATAGTAAATAATTAGAAGTATTTAACAATCATTTTATGTTATGTTCACAGATTCTTTTGTTCTTTCCATAAAGATTTGATAAATGATATAAACCAAAATTTTCAAATTTTTACTCACAGAAAATGAGAAAATCAAATAAGTAGCAGTTTTGTTAGCCTCATAACCATTGTCTCTTTTCCTAATAATACATAAAAGAAGGAATATACATAATCTCTAAGGAAACACCTGAGAAGGAAATTGAGGCAACAAAATGTATAAAATTCTTTCTCATCAGAATTTTCAAGTAAACAGAATTTCTACTGACTTTCATCTTATAACACAAAGATGATTAAGTATCTAAAAACACAAATAATTGTATAAAGGCAGAAGATTATGAGTTTTGGATGAAATCCAGAGGAAGAAAATTTAAAATTAACTCATAGGACCACACTGAATTATAATAATTATAGCATTCATTATCAAGAGTAAAACTTAAAAAAAAATTGTCAAATTACTTTATGATTCATGAACACCATTTAATTAATCGGATTTTGCTTAAAATATAAGAAATTATATTGTGAAAGCAAACTCTTTCTCAAAGAAATATATATAATATATATTATATAAATATATTATATATTTATACTTATATATAACACATTTATATTTATATATATTTATAATTATGTATAAAAATATATATAAATACAATGCTGACAGAAAATTAGTTTGAAAATAGACAATTGATGTAAGCAGAAATTTAACACATGAATGCTGAAATTAATTTATACATTTTCATTAATGTGATTTTCTACAAATATTTATTGACTACCCAGATGTAGCAGTCAACAAACAGATAAAAAATCTTTATTCTCTTGTGTCTGTACTTAAGTGAGACTGTGGTGGTAATAATAATAAGTTTTTTAAAAATGTACACTATGTTAGATTACAAGAGGTATAAAAAAATAAGAAGAAGGAAATAAGCAGAACAGAGTCTTTAGGTAACTATTTGTAATTTTAACTTGTGCATTTAAGAAAGTCACATTAGTCAGATAGGTTAAATTACAGTAAAATATGAACTCTAAAATTTTAGTTGATTTGACACATGAATATGTATATTTTTGGCTCACGAAAATCTTTGGAAATGTTTAGTAAACATTTAGAAATACTTAACAACCATTTCATACTGTTTTCTTATTTTATTGTTTTTCATAACTCTGGCCACTCTCTATGGCAACTTTCTCCTAAGGCATTACACAGTGAAATAGTTTGTATACTTTTCCCCAAGAAAATAATCTCAGGTAGAATTGTAATTCCCAGTATTGGAGGTGGGGCCTGATGGGAGGTGACTGGATCATACAGGTGGATTTCTCATGAATGGTTTAGCACCATCCTTCTGGTGCTGTCTTCATGACAGTAGGTTCTCCTGAGGTCTGGTTATTTAAAAGTATGTGGCACCTCCCTCTCTCGTTCCTGCTCTGGCCCTCTGAGAGGCCAGTTTCCCCTTTGCCATCTCCCATGAGCTAAAGCTCCCTGAGGCCTTCCTGAAAGCTGAGCAGATGCCAGCACGGTGCTTCCTGTACAGCCTGCAGATCCGTGAGCCCATTATACATTTTTCTCTATAAATTGCCCAGTCTCTTTATTGCAATGTAGGAATGGTCTAATAGGGGACAAAATCCTGGGGCCATAATAACAAAATATGGCCCTCATTCTTGCTGTGATGGGGATGAGGGTGTGGGCATACTGGTTATGGGCTTTTCACTGTTTTTTGTCTAGACATAACACTCTTTTCTCTCACAGTCACAGTTCTATCTAATTGTAGTCAGATTGGGTACTGTGGTTTTTTATGTTTCCAAGAAAGTAAGGAGCTTTAGATATTTGTGAGTACTAATGGTATTACCACACAAGCTTTATTAGGAAGGTGACACTTACATAAAGACCTTAGGTTAGTGAGGAATTAAACCATCTATATATTCCTTCTGGATGAATAATCCAGACAGAGCAAAGAACAAATCCAGGTGTCCTGAGGAGGGTGCATGCTGAGCTGAATCAAATAAACATGAGGAACCTTATGCCGATAGACTGGGTTAGGCTGCACCTGAGATAACAGAAGGTAAAAATTTACCCAAATTAGGAAACTGGTAGATGTATCCTATTTCCAAGAGTAACTGAGAATGATCTTCTCCTGCTTAATCACAGTTTCTGCTGATGTTGTGAGGCAGGAGCTGGGAGATCTTGGCAATCTGAATTCTATAGCCCAAAGTGGGGAAAAAAAAAAAAAAAAAAAAACACCAGAGCACCAAAGGATTATGGAGGATCATTTCTAACATGGTATCCAGGCTAGCCAACCAAAGACCAGAGGGGTCTCTCCTGTTTATAAACTTCATTATCTTTGCTAAATGGGTGAATTATTGGTAACAATCTTAGTCATTAATAAAATTCAAGTCTTATTTGCTCTAAAGAACAGGGATTTAAGTGAGTTATATATTATAATTACACTAATTGATTTCAAACAATGGTGACAAACTCTACATCATGAAGTCTTCCATGAAAACTAAGTGGCTATGTGGTTATATTCCCACCCTGAAACAAATTCTCTTTGTGCAGTTTATATAATGTTTCTATTAAGAATCATATATCACCACCCAATAACTCTAGTTTTATGGGCCTAATGAAATGTAATATTGCATCCTTTAATCATCATGGGCTTGTGTTCCTGAACTCTTTTCTTACAATAAACATGGCAACCAGTTATTTTCACTTTAGGCAATCTTCTCTGGGGACTTTCCATTTCCACATGCCCTGACCATTGATAATCTAGAATTACTTTTCTGAATTACGAGTTCCTGGGTCAAAAGTTATACCTCTTATCAAGCTTTTAATTTATTTGCCTAAATTATTTTTAGAGAGATTGCATCATATGACATTCCAATTTGAACTCATGTTTGGATGAAAAAAAATCTTATCAATTTGATAAGTGAAAAATCATATGATTTTACAAACATGCAGCTTTGGTAATAAATCAAATTATCAGAAAAGGTTAAATGAAGATTATTTTTGCTTCACATTATTTCTGTTATGATTTTCCATAAGCAATATAATACAGTGTTTAATAATTATGATTGGGGTGCAGACAGCTTGGATTTGAATCATGGCTCCATAATTTACCCTTTGAGAGCTTGGGGAAATAACCCAACTCAATGCCTCAGTTTCTCAATATAGTGCTAGCACCAACTTCAAAAAACATTTTGGTGAATTATTTCAAATAATGTATATAACAATTTTTGTAGTCATTGTCCAAAGTATAAACTTAAAAAATAATATTACTTTATGCTTTTTAGCTAAAACAACTATGTAAATTTTTGAACTAAAGATAAGCAAGTATAAATAATTTGTACATAATTTTTGTTACGCATTTTCCATGAAATTAACTGAAAAAAAATTCTTAAAGATTTCTAAAACACTCTTTTTTAATTTATTATACGTATTTTAAGGTATTTCACTTTGGACATATTTTTATGTAAAAGCATTTATTGTTTACATGGGTTTTATAGCACAGCCAAATTTAAATGTGCTGTCTGATTTTGTGCCAGAGGACAATGAACTTTATGCTGCTTTTAGTACAGCTCTCAAATTGATTGCTAAAATGAAAGGAAGTGGTGAAAACTCACCGACATTGTTGGCAAATGAATGCTATTTCTGTAGGTGAAATAACTCATTTTACTGAATAATGTTCCTCTTGCCAGAGGTCAATCAAGGACTCTTTAAAGCAGCAGCTACTATTTAGAGCACTATGACAAATTTCATAGTTTGCTTTGGTAATATGCTTATAATTAAGTTTATGGACTTAATTTATTATTTGGAAGGTATTGAAATTAATATTTATGGAGTAAAAAAGGCATTATTTGTACAGATAATTTTAAATTTCTCTAGTAATTGTCATTGATGATAGAGTTAAGTAAAGTAGAAATGCTACAAGTAGCCTAACTCTTCATTAAAACATTTTCACTGAAAAATAAGTTAAAATTTGGCTGGGCATGGTGGCTCATGCCTGTAATCCTAGCATTTTGGGAGGTGTAGGCGGGTGGTTCACTTGAGGTCAGGAATTCGAGACCACCCTGGCCAATATGGTGAAACTCTGTCTCTACTAAAAAACAAAAAATTAGCTGGGCTTGGTGGCTGGCGCCTGTAATCTCAGCTACTCAGGAGGCTGAGACAGGAGAATCCCTTGAACCTGGGAGGTGGAGGTTGCAGTGAGCAGAGATCATGCCATTGTACTCCAGCCTGGGCAACAAAAGCAAACTCCATCTCAAAAAAAATCAATTAAAATTAATTGAGATATTATGCAAAGTATGGAATAATAAAATTATTTCAAAAACTAATAACATGATAGATTCATTTGTTAATCTTCTTAAAATTAAGAGTATTGTGTCCTAAAAAACCAAACATTCAGTAGTTCAAATATGTAAGTTGCTAACAAGTAAAAAAAGAATTAATAAATAAGAGCCTTCATTTGTTAAATATATGTAATATTTGTTTATATATATATATCTTAGCTCAAAATGATGTCACATTAGGCGAAAATATTTAAAAATAATTGATATTTAACTATAAGTCATTATGTGGAACCTAATGGATTTCCAATGAAAATAGATAGATTTTCTGAATTTCACCACTGTTTTGTGTAAAGAATTTTATACATTTCTCTACAATTCGTATTGATTTGATGTTTTATAGTTTACAAGATTATCTAACATGCATTTCTCTTTAACCTCAAAAGACGACAATAAAATAAGTATTTTGGCCTATTCTCAAATGACATAGCTGAATTTCAAAGAGCTCTACGAAGTTTCCCAAGGACAACTCAGTGAGTACAGAAGGCATTATAACCACAAAATAAGCTGCTCTGATACAATCATTACTCAATTTCTTCCACTGTTATATTAGCCACACCACTGCCAGTACGACCATTTAAAATATGTAACAGGTAATACCTGTGCTTCAATAGTTTCTAACTCAGAAAATTCTTATCGCCCCTGTAAGGTTTACATGAATCAATTCTCTACCTCTATGGTCTCTTTCACATTCCTCTAGCTCTTTGGGTTTCCGCTTTCACCATGCAGGTCTTATTTCTGGTCCTCAAACAAAGCAAGCACCCTGCTGTTTCAGAATCTGTATTGCTACTTACTCTGCCTCAAACAGTATTTTCCAGAGTCATATCACTTGCCTCTTTATTTTGTTCTCTTATTAACGTTACTGCCATGGAGGGGCCTTACATGAGAACAATATATAAAATAGCCCTGTCACTTTACTTCTACCCCCCAGCTTCATTTTTTCTTCATATTGCTTATTACCAATTTGCTCATTGTTATGATATTGCATTCAGAAATCCCTATTACTTTGTATTACAGGCTTCTGGTTGCCTGGAAGGTAAATCACCTTACTGGAAATGAGTATTGAGCTCAAATGCTGGTTCTTCTCGTCTGATTTATTTTGTTAAAATTGTTCCAAAAACGTAGATGTTCTAGAAAAGGCGACAGTGCTAAAACAAGGAATCCTAGAGGCATTGGGATTTTAACATCATGTCACTACCATACACCTAAAACATTATATCAGATATTTACAAATGAATTAATTAAAATGGTTTTAAAGACTGAGCCTTTTTAAGATTAGTTCTCATTATGACTAATTCTATTTCATGGGCCACACATATGTGAATCTTTTATGGGTGCTAACCTAACCACTAGTACCTGGCAAACTAGATAAAAAGATTAAGTCTTAGCTCAGTTGCTACTGACACACCTCACAGGAAGTACCCCTACCTGCAGGCTTACCTACTTGCTACCTTACGGAGGCCTTCCCCTTCCCTTACTCACACAATGGTTTCTATACCTACATTCTAGATTGTGACAGACACCACTCCTTTCAATGCTTTATTTCTCACACACACACACACACACCATCAAGTGAGAACTCCAGACACTGCATCTGACTGACCCTGTAATATTTGGCCGTTCAGTTTTTATTTATAACACTCCTTTATTTCAAACTACTAATCACTTATCCACAGTTTAAAGGGATGTACAATTAATTTTCCAATATCTTCCCCATGGAAAATATTAATAGAGACATGAAAAATCAATCGATTTTTATTTATGCTAAAAAGTGCTCAGCGTTAGATGTAATAGAAGTGACATATATTTGAATGACCAAATGATACAATGTGAAAAGTTACAAAATATATTTAACATCCAAAAATATAGCCAACTTCTACTCTCCAATGCAGAAATAATAATTATGACATCAATATTCTATCTCATAGTTTTTATGCAGTATTGAAGCTGGAAGTGTCACTTTTAGTAACATCATGAGATAAGCACAGTTTGCCTTTAAACTTTCTCCTCAAGTCCTGTAAGGCATTGTAGCAGACACTGTCCTTTCCCATCCATATCCCCTTGGATTCAATTTAAAGATTCTGTGTGCTTTGCTTTTAATGCTTGGCACCTGCAGTTTTCTGCATAGGTCTGTCCCTTTCTTCCTGCTACACCTTCTCCCTCAAAGGGAGAAAACTGAAAGGGCCTGAGAGTTTAAACCCACTCAGGTATAAATGACTTATTGATAAGGGAGACCAAAATTCAGAATCCCTTGCATAGATCTTTAAAAAAAACTCTTAAGTTGTAATTTATGCTGACGATTTCACTGCGAAACCAGTCTGGGGCTGGGAATTATTTGTGACTCCTCACCTTTTCCTATTTTAGTACTCTCTCTCTTACTATTTCTGAAGTGTTTAATAAATCAATTGCACATGAATTCTTATCTCAATGACTCCCTATGGGGAACTAACCTAAAAGAGCACTATAATATTATAATGTTTCATTTGTCTAATTCAGTCATAAGTGAAGTTACATTGATTGTTGAACGTCTAGATGCCTAGACAGCCATGCCCTCAAAACCTAGCTTAAAGAATTCTGTGCTCCAGAGTCTTAGAAACTCCACCTGCTTCAGCCCAATCCTTTAAAAATCTAACTTCAAAAATTATATTATTTAGGACATCAGCACAAGTGAATAGGTTTCTATGAAACCGAGTATTGGGATTTTTGCTTTTTTGTTGTTTTTCAGAATTTCTTTGGCTATTTTAACAATTTAACAGATTTGCAGATGATCTGAATATTAGGTAATAGTAGACTGTAATATTAGCTAATATTATTGTATCAATGTTATTTATGGTATCAATGTTAAATTTAATGATATTATTAATTTTGAAACAAAAGGTTATTTAAAAATATACCCTTGTTTTTAGCAAAAAAGCATACCAAATAATTTATATACAAATACAATGATCATAAGTTCCCAAATTATTTTCAAACATTTCAGAAAAGTTAACATATTTCTCTATATATATCTCCCTATAGGAGTCCTGATATTAATGTGAAATAAGTGTTAACATATGTAAATATATAAAAAGAATGTTAAAGCTAATAAAACAAAAGTAAATAGTTATTTAATTTTAATAAAAGGCATATGCATGTTGAGTTATTCTTGAGTACTTCCTATGTTTGAAATTATATTAAATTAAAAAGTAACAGTTTATAACACCAACTTCAGGATAATTTGTAGGGAAAGCTCTTATAATATCAAAGTTAGTTTTTATTCTTTATAAGCACTGGAATTTTAAATTTATTTTTGACATGTATTGATTTTATAGTTGTTTCAAATGACAGTTTTCATATTTTTTCAAAGAAAACTTATATGCCCCAAATGCATTTCAAATGGCAAATACTGAAATATGTATATTTATTTAGTATCACAATTAATGTATTACAATAATGATTTTAAAACATCAAGATAGAGTTCTAATAGTGAGTACAGCCTTATTTTATATTTAGAAATTACCTTTTTTATTTAAACTTAGTATCACTTTGGTAGTTTTTATTATCTTGTCTCAAAGTATGAGAGTTTATTCTTTTTCAAAATTGACTTTTTATTAAAACAAATGTAATTGTTATAGATTTTTTAAGATTTGGGTACCAAAAGGTATCCCTTTCAAAATGGTTGTTTGCAGTTTTGTGACCCAGAGGCAATGAGTATTTAGAGAAACTCAGATAACTAGATTTACACTATGTAAGTCTGAAATGATACTGCCCTTTCAGGTAATACAAAGGCCAATTTTTAAAAACTGACCCAAGTGTTCTTATCTTGAAATTTCTAAAATGTGATTTATTTCAAATGCTTTTATTTTACTTGTCTGAAAATACACATTATACAATTGTTTTCAAAAATAAAATTTAATTATTATTTTCTATGCCCAGCCCCAGTGCAATGATTAGAACAGATTTCTTCTTCAAAATTTGAAATTTATTTTTAATTGTTATTAACTAAGTGATTATAAGAGCTAAGTTTGTTTCTATTCAAAAGATTTGCCATATTTCTCTAATAATATGTATACATATATTTATAAATATATTTATACAACATACATATATAATATATGTATACATATATATGTATGTTGTATAAATCAAGACTGGGGATGGCTATATTTTAAAAAACAAAGTTAAATCTATAGATGTGTAGATGTTTTAAGTAATATAATAATGGATAGTGCTCAGTTTAACATTACATATCTGAGTACATCACTCTATATAACTTATCCATATATATATATCAATAACTTTGAACCCTTAAATTGGCCACCAATCTCTGGTATACAAACCACTTTACACAATTCAAGATGTTATTTCTGGCACTGGTATGCCCCCATTTTCTAAAAGTTGCTTCTCATCTTGCTTAATCTTAGTCCTTGATACTTCCTTTTATGAGTTTAATTATGTACCCCAAAATTCATGTGTTGATATCCTCACTTCCAGTATCTCAGAATGTGGCCTTCTTTAAAAACTGGATCATTTCAGACATAATTAGTTATAATCAGGTCCTACTGAAGTGGGGTGGGTCCATTTTCCAATATAACTGGTGGCCTTAAGAAAAACGGGAAATTGGAATCAAGGCAAGCACACAGGGAGAATGGCAAGTGAAAGTTTGAGTTTTGCTACCACAAATCAAGGAATCACCAGAGGCTGGGGCAGAGTTCTGGAATAAATCCTTCCCTAGTGTCTTCAGATGGAGCATGGCCTTGTCAACATCTTCTCAGATTTCTAGCCTCTAAATCTGTAAAATAAATTTCTGCTGTTTAAAATCACTCAGTGTGTGGTATTTTGTTATGGCAACCCGAGGAAACTAACATGAATGCTAATACTACCACTGATACTGTCTTGTTCTACTGACATGTTTGAATGTATTTCCCTAGGTGGATTTTCTGTAATTTCCCTCTATAAAATATTGATATCCATGTTCTCTATAAAATATTGATATCCATGTTCCACCCTAATTTGCCATAGCAAAAAATAATATTTATCGTTCACTAGGTAAGCATGAGTCAGATTGTGGACACTCTTAGTCAAGGGAGGATTATACAATCTATATATTTATGTTTGTTTTATAATATAAGGAAGCTGATACTGCCTACTCCACTGGAGCTTTAATTCCTGCATCTTACGGTTCTTTTACTCATATTTTATTTGGTAACCTTCAAATAGAAATCCATGAGGGAGGCTTATACTGTTCTTGCATCTACTTTATGCTAGAGCTTGTGCTATATGCTTTTTAATTAAATTTGAGAAAAGCAACAACATGCCAACTGTATGGATGATCTTTGTATGAGGAGATGCAATAAAAGGCTGCCAGGAGAAAAGGGTACAAAATGTAAAAATGAGCATTGATAATGCACACATTTTTGTTTTGTGTTTTACATTTAAATTCCTAATTAATCTGAGTTATTTTTTGTGAATAATGTTAAAGTCTTTATCCAGGTTCTTATTTATTCATTTATCATTTGCATATAGACATTCAATTCTCTCAGGATCCTTTGTTTAAAAGACAATCCTATTTTCATTGTAAAGCCTTTGTGACTTTGTCAACGGTCACTGGCTATATTTGCATGGGCGTATTTCTGAGCTCTCTATTCTGTTACATTTATGTATGTGTCTATTCTTTCTCTAATGTCATACTTTTTTATTATTTATATTTGTAGAAAGTCTTAAACTCAAATAATGCTAGCCCTCCAACTTTCTCTTCTTCTTTACTATTTTTTTTTTTTTTGCTTATTTTAGGTCTTTCTTCATTCAATACAAATTTCTGAATTAATGTGTTTATCACTATGAAATAGTTTACTTGGACTGTGATTGGAACTGCAAATTTAGGTTGGGATTGAATCTATAGCTTTAATGTTAAATTTAGACAATTTCATAAATATGTAGTCTTCCAATCCTTGAACATGGAATGTCTCTCCATTTATTTAGCTCTTTAATTTCATACGTCAGCATTTTATAGTTTTCTACATAGAATTCCAGTACATATTTTGTTATAATTGTTAAGTATTTTATTTTTGAGTAATTTTGAAATTGGTTTTTTAATTTAAAATTTTAATTATTCATTGATGGTAAATAAGTATACAATTTACATTTATATATTGAACATATATTGTTTAATATTTGTACCATTGCATTTTACCCTTGCTTATATTGTTTAACATTCTAAGAATGTTCATTGTACTTTTTTTGGATACTTTATATAGACAAAGATTTTATCTGTGAATAAAGAGAGTTGTATTTATTTCTTTCTAATCTATAGATCTTTAAGTTCATTTTCTTGTCTTTGTCCAATTGATTGACTTTGTCCTATAGACTTCCATTTAGAGACTGAATAGAGAGTATATATTTTACCTTGTTTTGGGATGAAGGAAAAGCACTGTTTTTTTTTTACCAACACTAGAATTTTTATGATGTTCTTTGTCAAGTTGAAGATGTTCCTCTAGTTTTCTGATGTTCATTGGTTCTGAGTGTTTCTATCATGAATCGTTTATGAATTTTGTCACATGGTTTTTCCGTATCACTTAATATGGTCATGATTTGTCATCTTTCGCATTTTGATGCCATAGATTATATTTTCTGATTTTAGTTTTTAAATTTTTAAAATTTTAATTTTTATGTGTACATAGTGGTGTATATGTTTATGGGGTATATGAGATGTTTTAATACAGGCACTCAATCTTAAATAATAACATATTGTTTTATTTTTACATTTTGATCCAGATTTCTATACTAACTTGAACATAATATATAATTATTTTTATACTTTTTAAAATTAAATTGCAAATACTTGTTTAGGAGTTTGGCTTCTATATTTGTGAGAGAGACTGATCTGCAGTTTTTCTTTCTTGTAAAGCTTTTATCTGACTTCAGTATAAGGACAATGCTGCCTCATAGAATGAGTTAGAAAGTATTTTCCTCTATTCTTTTTTGGAAGAAATGTTGAATAATATATTTATGATTTCTCATTTAATATTTGGTAGAATTTACTAGTGAAACCATTTGAATTTTACATTTTATTTTTGCAAGGTTATTAATTTATTTTCTTTATTAGCTCTATTCTTGTTATCCTTTCAATCTTGTGTGACTTTTTATAGTTGTGTGATTTAAAAAAAGGTTCATTTTAGATTAATAAATGTGTGTGCCTAACATAGTTTGTAGTGTTTATTATCCTTTAATATCAACAGGATCAGTAATAACCTCTTTCATTTCTGACATTGATAATTTGTGTCATATATTTTTGCTATTGTTTGCAGCCATTCTAAAATATATCCCTTTTAATTGATTTTCTAAAGTAACCAGCTTTTATTTTATTCATTTTTTATATTATTTCCATGCTTCAATTATCGTTGATCTCTACTCTAATTTTTATTATGTATTTTTTTTCTGTTTGTGTTAGCAAAGAAATTCTCCTTTATCTGTAGTTTCCTAACTTGAAGTCTTAGGTTATTAATGTAATTTTAAAATTTCTTTTTGATTATTCACTTAATGCTATGAACTGTTATTTAAATACTGGTTTCCCTGCATCAGACAAATTTGGATATGTTGCATTTTCATATTCAGTCTGTTCAAAATATATTTTTAGTAATTTCTCTTTAGACTTTGTTTTGATGTATGTGTTAGTTTGAAGTATGCATGTCTTCTAATTTACAAATATTTAGAGGTTTTCCAGCTATCTTTAAGTTATTGATATATGGTTTAATTATATTTTGGTATGAGCACATGTTATATGATCTATTCTTTTAACTTTATCAAGGTGTGTTTTGAGGATGTTCAACAAACTCCAAAAAAAAAAAAAAAACCAGAAGAAATTCAAAATTCTATCAGAAGCATTTAATAAAGAGATTGACACTAAAAATAAAGTAGAAATTCTGGAGCTAAAATATTCAATTGACAAACTGAAATATGCATCAGAGTCTCTCAATAGCAGAATTCATCAAGCAAAAGAAAGAATTAATGATCCTGAAGACAGCCTATATAAAAATACACAATCAGAAGAGAAAAAGTAAAACATTAAAAAAAAATGAAGCTTACGGCAAGATCTAGAAAATAGCTTCAAAAGGACAAATTTAAGAGTTATTGGCTGTAAAGAGGAAGTAGAGAGAGATACTGGGTAGAAAGTTTATTCATAGAAATAATAACAGAGAAATTTCCAAACCTAAAGAAAGAAATCAATATTCAGATACAAGATAAGAAAGAAAGACAAAAAGATTCAACTACCTAAAGGTACTTAAAAATCAAATTCCCAAAGGTCAAAGGTAAAGAAAAGATCCTAAAACCAGAAAGAAAAAAGAAATAAATAAATACAAAAGAGCTCTCAAACATCTGGCATCTGGCAACATACTTTTCAGTAGAAACCTTACAAGTCAGGTGAGAGTGGGATGACATATTCAAAGTGCTGAAAGAAGTGAAAAAAAGGGTTTTTTTTTTGTTTTTTTGTTTGTTTGTTTGCCAGATATAGTTTTCCCATTTGGAAGTATCTGGCAAAATTACCCTTCAAACATGAAAAAGAAATATAGATTCTCCGAGACAAACAAAAAATAGGGGATTTTGTCAACATCAGACCTATTTTATAAAAAATGCTAAAGGAAGTTCTTCAATCTAAACTAAAAGGAAGTTAACTAGCAAGAAGAAATCATCTGAAAGTATAAAACTCACGGAAAATAGTAAGTACACGCACAAACACAGAATACTCTAACACTGTAATCACGGCGTGAAAACCACTCATATTTCTTAAGGAAAGCTAAAAAACTACCAAAATAATAACAAAAACTTTTTTTTTTTTTGAGACTGAATCTCGCTCTGTCACCCAGGCTGGAGTGCAGTGGCGTGATCTTGGCTCACTGCAATTTCTGCCTCCTGGGTTTTAGCGATTCTCCTGCCTCAGCCTCCAACAAAAACAACTTTTTGAGAGATAGATGATATACCAAAAAAGCAGAGACAATTAAAAGTCACAAAGCATGGGGAATACAGTTAAAGTGTGAAGGTTTTTAGTGTTCTCTCTGCTTGTTGTTTTTGTTTTTTTTTTCTCTCTGTAATTAGTATTAGGTTGTCAGCAGTTTAAAATAGTTGGTTCTAAAATGTTACTTGCAAGCAAGCCTCATGTTAACTACAAAAGAAAAACCCATAACAGTTAAACAAACAGTAAAAAGCAAGAAATTAAAACATACTGAGAGGTGACAACGTGCTGGCAGTCCTCACAGCCCTCCTTCGCTCTCGGCGCCTCCTCTGCCTGGGCTCCCACTTCGGCGGCACTTGAGGAACACTTCAGCCCACCACTGCACTGTTGGAGCCCCTTTCTGGGCTGGCTAAGGCCAGAGCCGGCTCCCTTAGCTTGCAGGGAGGTGTGGAGCGAGAGGCGCGAGCGGGAACCGGGGCTGCGCGCCGCGCTTGCGGGCCAGCTGGAGTTCCGGGTGGGCGTGGGCTTGGCGGGCCCGCACTCAGAGCAGCGGGCCGGCCCTGCCGGCCCCGGGCAATGAGGGGCTTAGCACCCGGGCCAGCGGCTGCGGAGGGTGTACTGGGTCCCCCAGCAGTGCCGGCCCACCGGCGCTGCGCTCGATTTCTCGCCGGGCCTTAGCTGCCTTCCCGCAGGGCAGGGCTCGGGACCTGCAGCTCGCCATGCCTGAGCCTCCCACCCACTCCATGGGCTTCTGTGCGGCCCGAGCCTCCTCCACGAGCGCCGTCCCCTGCTCCACAGCGCCCAGTCCCATCGACCACCCAAGGGCTGAGGAGTGCGGGTGCATGGCGTGGGACTGGCAGGCAGTTCCACCTACACCCCTGTGCGGGATCCACTGGGTGAAGCCAGCTGGGCTCCTGAGTCTGGTGGGACGAGGAGAACCTTTATGTCTAGCTCAGGGATTGTAAATACACCAATCGGCACTCTGTAGCTAACTCAAGGTTTGTAAACACACCAATCAGCACCCTGTGTCTAGCTCAGGGTTTGTGAATGCACCAATGGACACGCTGTATCTAGCTAATCTGGTGGGGAGGTGGAGAACCTTTGTGTCTAGCTCAGGGATTGTAAACGCACCAATCAGCGCCCTGTCAAAACAGACCACTTGGCTCTACCAATCAGCAGGATGTGGGTGGGGCCAGATAAGAGAATAAAAGCAGGCTGCCCCAGCGAGCAGTGGCAACCTGCTCAGCTCCCCTTCCCCACCATGGAAGCTTTGTTCTTTCGGTCTTTGCAATAAGTCTTGCTACTGCTCACTGTTTGGATCCAGACTGCCTTTATGAGCTGTAACACTCACCACGAAGGTCTGCAGCTTCACTCCTGAAGCTAAAGACACCAGGAGCACACCACTAGTAATGAACAACTCCAGAGGCGCCGCCTTAAGAGCTGTAACACTCACTGCAAGGTCTGCATTCTCACTCGTGAGCCGGCGAGACCACGAACCCACCAGAAGGAAGAAACTCTGAACACATCTGAACATCAGAAGGAACAAACTCCAGACACGCCACCTTTAAGAACTGTAACACTCACCGCGAGGGTCTGCGGCTTCATTCTTGAAGTCAATGAGACCAAGAGCTCACCAATTCGGGACACGATACTACCAGAGAAGAACTTTTACCCATAGGGATACAGAAGGGAAGAAAATAAGACAAAACGAACAAAACAATAAAAAATAACAAAATGCTAGTATTAAGTCCTTACCTATCGGTAATATTACATCTAAATGTACTTAATTATTCAGTAATGGAGTTACTGAACTGATTTTAAAAAAACCCAACTATAAGCTGTCCACAAGAATATCACTTCACCTATAAAGTCACACATACATTGAAAGTGAAAAAAGGAAAAAAGATATTCTATGCAAATAGCAAAAAAATATAGGCATAGTCATATAATGGATTTCAAGACAAAAAATGTAGAAAGAGAAAAATGAAGGTCATTTTATAATGATAAATACATTATCCCCACAAAATAATATAACAATTGTAAATACATATGTACTCAATGTTAGAGCACACATATATAAAGCAAATATTATTAAAGAGAGAAATAGATGCAAATACGATAATATCTGGGGACTTAACACTCCACATTTAGCATTGGACAGGTAATCTAGACAAAACCCAGAACTATAAAAACTCTGGAAGACAAAGTAGACAATACCACTCAGAATATTGGCACGAGCAAGGATTTCATGACGAAGACACCAAAAGCAATTTCAAGAAAAGCAAAAAGTGACAAATGGGATCTAATTAAACAAAAGAGCTTCTGCACAGCAAAAGAAATTATCAACAGAGTAAACAGACACCCTACAGGATGTAAGATATATTACGCAAACTATGTATCTAATAAAGGTCCACTATCCAACATCTATAAGGAACGTTAAGAAACTTACAAGAAAAAAACAGCCTCATGAAAAAATTAGCAAAGGACATGAACACTTTTGAGAAGTCTTATGTGTGGCCAACAAGCAAATGAAAAGAAAAGCTTAACCTCACCAATCAATAGAGAAATGTAAATAAAAATCACAATGAGATACCATCTTGCACCAGCTAGAATGGCTATTACTAAAAAGTAAAAAAAAATAACAGATGCTTGCAAGGTGGTGGAGTAAAAGGAATGCTTATACACTGTTGCTGGGAGTATAAATTAATTTAACCATTGTTGAAGACAGTGTGGCTATTTCTCAAAGTTCTAAAGACAGAACTACCATTTGACCCAGCAACCCCAATACTGAGTATATGCCCAAAGGAATATAAATTTTTCTGTTATAAAGACACAAGCATATGTATGTTCATTACAGCACTGTTCACAATAGCAAATACATGAAGTCAACTCAAATGCCCATAAACAATAGACTACATAAAGAAAATGTGGTAAATAGACATCATGGAATCCTATGCAGCCTTAAGAAAGAGTGAAATCATGCCTTTTGCAGAAACATGGATGGGGCTGGAGGCTATTATCTTCAGCAAATTAACACCGAAACAGAAAACCAAATACCACATGTTTTCACCTGTAAGTGGGAGCTAAGTGATAAGAATTCATGAACACAAAGAAGGAAACAACAGACACCAGGGTCTCCTGGAGGGTTGAGGGTAGAGGTTGGGAGAAGGGAGAGAACCAAAGATAACTATTGGGTACTGGGCTTAATACTTGGGTGATGAAATAATCTGTACAACAAACCCACGTGACACGAATTTACCTATGTAACAAAACTTCACATGTACTCCTGAACATAAATAACAGTTTAAAATATAAAGAATTAATAAAAAAAATTTTAGAGTCACATAAGGTACAAAAAGTAGCACAGAGAACCTCATGTATCAATTACTCAAATTTCTCCAATGAGAACGTCTTGCATAATTATACTACATTGTCAAAACCAAGAAATATACACTGATGAAATGTAATGAATTAATAAAATCATATTTATATTTGAACAGTTTTACATTCACTTCCTTCTACTTTGTTTTTTATTTTTAGTATAGTTCTTAAATTTTATCACACATATTGATCTGTGTGACCACCATAACAATCAGGACACAGAATTTCCATCATCACAAAGAAACCCCAATTTTACCACTGTATACTCATATCGTTCACCAAATGCTAACCCTTAGATGTTTGTTATTATTTGAAATTAATGTTCAGAACCCATAGGTTAGAATCTTTAACCCACTTTAAATTGTTGCTCCACTTAATAGGAACTCAACACATACACATTTGTGGAGATAAATAGTTTTATTTCGTAAAATAATAAATTGACCTGACACTTTAGTTTCAGGAACAAATGAAATTTTATTTATTCTGGCATGCTTATACATTTACATCTACTGCATGTTTTTTATTAAATAGTCTTTCAGTTTCAATAAGAAATTCAACTTGAATCTAATCCTCACTTCAGATCACCTGTTTAATCTAGGATCAAATGTATCCATTATCCTCAGATCTTTGTTACCTCTGTTTATTATGTACTTTACAGTCTTTTCCCTATGTGTGTATGCATGTGTATGTCTGCACATGTGTTATGTTTTCATATGCTTGATAATTAAATATTTTATTAAAAACAGCTAGATTGTTGTAATGCTATTGTTTTAGAAGTATATTTTATTTTAGCAGTTTGGCTGTGTATGATTGATCTATCATCTATTGAATCTGCAAATAGCACAAACACACAAACACACATAAAGTCTAAAGGTAGGTTGTATAATTTTTTTTGCTGATTAGGCGCTGTATTGTCTTAAAATATTACAACTTAATATTTTATTGCTTGAGCTTCTATGAATTTTTTCATGATACATATTGTATATTCTTCTGCATTAATATCATGGGCAGCCCTTATCTATGTTTTCACTTATTGTGATTTCAGTTACCCATGGTCAATCATAGTCCAAAATTATTAGGTAAAAAATTCCAGAAATAAATAAGTTATGTTTTAAATACCTGTTATTACAGTATTATGTTATAATTATTCTATTATTATGGTTGTTTATCTCTTACTGTGCCTAATTATAAATTCAACTTTACCACAAGCACATATATATAGGGAAAAAAACCATAGTACATATGAGGTTCCACACTATACTTGTTTCAGGTATCCACTGGGGCTTTTAAAATGTATCCCTCACACATAAGAGAGGACTGCTGTTTTCCAACATATTTAACCCTGGGCACCTGAAATTTAAAGAAGAATAAAGTTAAATTGCACTTTGCTTTGCGTGAGGGAAGAATGAAAATATTTAGAGCAATTAGAGTTGTCAGCATTTCAAACAATTATTTGGAAAATAGAAGAGACCTTGGGCACTAGTTCATCTCCATGTTAATGGATATTGTGGTTTAAAAGGGGAATTAGTGTGTGTTTTGAAGCTAATTAGAGCACAGTTGTTAAATGTCACATCTGTTGTTAATAAAGCATATGGTTTTAAGATTTAATCTTGCACAAATCTGCCATTTTAACCAATATCTGCATATATTTGGATCTGTGATGATTTTATTATTTTGTGGTTTATTGTAATTCAGTATTTGTGGCTAGATTTCAAGCATGATCCTTTAAAATATTTTAGGTAGAAGTTTTCTAATTAGATTATAGTCTGTGATTTAAATACCATTTATTAATATTTGTATCTTAAGTTAAAAATTATGCTAAACGGTATTCTAAAACTTAAAAATTATTTCAACCTTTGGATAAGTAGTTATTCCCGGAAAAAAATTTTTGAGTTCATTTTTAATTAAGGCATTTAAGTACTGATCCTTGATAAACATTTTTTAATCCCAGATACCCATTTAACATGGATTTGGCTTTATATTGCCTTGGTTTCAAGTATATGGGAATTAGCACTATGAATCACAATATGAAATACCTAAGAGTTCACTTGGAATATATCAATGTTACCGAAGTTTTCCTGAAATTTTTAGGTGAAGATTAAATATTTAGGGCAATATATATATGCTCAATTAACATTATCTTTAATTGTTAGAATATAATTTGTCTTGTGTTTGTGTCTGCAACCTAGAAAGGTAAAACAAAAGAGAAATTGTGTTCCTCTAGTTGACCTCCTTTCACAACTAATTTGAGAGTATTGTTTCTGTGGAGATAAGTCTCCATGGTTACTGATTACAGACTTTTTAAAGGTTTTAACGAGGTTGGAAGGATCCATAGAACTGTTGCTTTGCATTTCAGCAAATAAGGGCATTAGTCCTTTGAGACTGCACCTTTGAAACAATAAATTCACGTTAGATGAAGTGCACTGTAATATCTATAACATATCAGCAGCTTATAAATGTGTATATATGGATGATGATTTAATTAAATACTTTGTATCTAAATTTGTAATTTGTCTAAGTAAATGTTAATAGGTAGACGTGATTACTGGTGTCTGGACAGATCAGTATCACTGTGCTGTTCAAATAACAGAGACAAACTCTCTAGTTGGGGAATCAGTCTTATTATCTCTAAATATGTTAGAAAATGTCATAATTGCATAGGGAAGCTGAAATGTCACTGAAGGAAATAAGGGAGTGGTTTACCAAAAAAAAAAAAGCATTTATAAAAATAGGCTGAACCCTGACTGTAATTAATAGCACTTTAATTTGCCTTTTGGTAATTTTTTTGGAATACAGCAGTTCAATGATGAGGGGAAACTAAAGCATTGCCATTACTTTCAATCCCAAAAACCACAATTACTTTTGCACCAAACTAATATTATACATTTTAATATTTTGACCATTTTATCCACCATATTTTCTTTCATAACATGATCCATTCCTCAACATGCTAATTCTATATGCATGTATTTTAATGCTATATACATGCATAAAAGATGATAACTACATGTTTGCTCTTAGTCAAAGGTTGTGGATTTTTTTCAGCCATATAAAATTTTGGTTGGTCTAAATATTTTACTTGTATAAACCATGGAAATTATTAGCATGTATAAAATATACCTTTCATTTCCGTTCAGCATATTCAAATTGTGAAATTTTGAGCATTTGACATTAATAAGCAGTTAGAAATTATTCAATTTTTGTATACATTTTTCTTCCAGTTAGGCATTTTAACCAATTCATTTGAGACCAACTACCGACTATGTCTGTATTACAATGATAGAACACAGGAACAAACTGAAAGAAATAGAGCATGGCAGTAATCCTCCAGAGTGCTGCTATTTCGTTTGAGAAGATTTATTCTATGCTCTGTTTCACTCATCCTCGGTCATTTTAATTCAAGAGCTTTGTGTCACTTACTTTGAAAAATGTTTTCCCTATTAAAATTTAGCTACTTTAATTCCAAAACTGAGTCCTAGCTCTTTTACTAAAATTTATAGTTATGTTTTAATATATATTTGTTTTACTTAGAAATATCAATGAAGTATATTTAAAATTACTTGGATTAAATTGTTAATATTTTCAATATTGAAAACAGAAAAAATAAAGGAAACACATAAATCAACAAAATCCCCTAACTTACTGAAAAACACTGTTGCAATTTGGTACATGTACTCTGTTTTTCTTTCAGTTTAGCAATACAAAAGTCATTATCTGATTTATGATGTGTTCTTGTGAAGGTGTGAAGTAGACATTAGAAATGATGTCAATGAAAGTACTTATTAAATTAAAAATATCTACAATTAAAATTTTGTAAAAAATAAAAAACTATGTAGAAATTTAAAAAATGTATAAGCATATTCACTCTTGAAAGTAGTTAAAGAGACCTTGTATGACAGTTTTTATGTGTTTATTACATATTTTAAAAATGTTGCTTTGTTGTCCCTGTTATCATTATAAGTTATTTATGCAAGAAGACCTTAAAGAAGTGGAAAATTTCATACTATACTTCAGTTACCATGCAAATATATCTGCTTCAATGAAAATGTAAAATGAATATTGAATTTATCTGAAAGTATGTAAAAGACAAATAATGTTGAAAAAAAGAGCATGTTCTATTTTGTTCTATTAATGATATTTTATGATTCAAAACCTACAATGTTAATAGATTAATCTGTAAAGGGCAACACTGAACAATTTCAAAAACTTTATATTCATTTTTTATAATTTAATTTTATTTCTAAAATAGCTGAAAGAGATCTAGAAATCCATCGGAGAAATTTGTTCAGAAATAATCATTTCAAATATATTTAAATAGCAAAAAGTAGAAAACATCTCAAATATCTACTCATGTATTCATGGTACTTTGGTCAGGTCCTTTGGTTTTCCTCTAAGATTATGTGAAACCCAGATGATAAGGTAATCTACAAACAATTTTTAACAGCTGAAATGTACTATATAAGTGGTAGCTATTACCTATCACAGTGAATCTAAATTTACTCATTTTAATATAATAGGGTTGGAATAAATGTTTTCTAAAGTATTTTAATATTTTACATAGTTGGTAATCTCTATGATTTTTTAGAAGACAGCTGTAAAACTGAGTCCATTTTGTAATGGAGAAATCAGGCATTAGGATGTTAACTGGTAAATAAAATTAGATGAAAATATAGTATATATTATATAACCCAGGGTTTAGGTATCAGCTTATTCTCTGCCTCTACTGATATACCATCTGGTAATTTACATATTCAAGTAGTTGAATTATATATTAACAATAATTTCCGGCCAGGCATGGTGACTCATTCCTGTAATCCCAGCACTTTAGGAGGCCATGGCGGGCAGATGACTTGAGGTCAGAAGTTCAAGACCAGCCTAGCCAACATGGTGTAACCCATCTCTACTGAAAGTACAAAAAATTAGCTGGGCATGGTGGAGAACACCTGTAGTCCCAGCTACTGGGCAGGCTGAGGCAGGGAAATTAAAAACAAACAAACAAATCAAAAATAAGTTTTAATTTTCTTGTTTCTAATACTTCACACAAGTCTTTTTACCATTAAGATAGCTATTATGCATTAGATAAAAAGGTGTCGCTGGACATATGATGATAAAAAAGTTACGGTGTACTCTTTCATTTGCATATTCATTCAACAAATATTGAAGTGTGTACTGTGTGCCCGACACTGTGTGAAGCACTGGAAATGGAAGAAACAAGACAGACTTCCACAACAATTGATCATACTCTATAATGTAAATAAATGAAAACAAACTGCAATGTGCCTAAAAGTGGTCTAAAGAATACGTTACTTAGAAAATAAGAGGGAAGGCATTCTGGAAGTTGCTTTTTGAAAAATACCTTAATTAAGGAGTTCCCTGCTACTGAGGGACACAGATCCCTCACACAGAGACAACTCCAATACCATATGAAAAGTATATTGGGCAAAGAATGTGCACAGTGTGTCATGGACACAAACAGGATGAAAGGGTATCCAGGCACAAGCTGGAGGTTGAATGCAGCAAGAAAGCTTTCCTGGAGGAGAAAAGAGATGAGCTACATTCTGAAGTACAAGTCGATATTTAATGGGATACAGAAGAGGGAGTGGGAAGTAGAAACAAAGGGACTAAAAAAGAGACAACGGGTAATTTATAGCAACAGAGCCAGGATAGGAAATTGGTATTACTAAAAATTATAATTATTCATGTCTTGGAAAGCTTGTTCTCAGTAACCCATACTGATTTTCTTGTCTATTTTCTCATATGACATGACATATTCCTGCCTTCACTTTTATGTAATTATGACGTAAGGCCTTGTGTTACTTTTTAAAACAATCTTAAGAAAACAATAGAAATATGTTTTCTTTCCTATTTCATTTGTTAGTATTGTGACATTTGAATCATTCTTATCTCAGGGTAATGCTGATAAGTCTGTTTCTGGGTCATACTGGTTTATTTGAATCAGTGAAAAGGAGTCAGGTCAACAGCTTCTGTATTGCTTCTTCTCTGCCTTGATTACTCTTAATCCCGATCATTTATAATTTGTGGCACAGACTTAGCTACTCTCAGAGGCTTCAGCTATAAATTCTCTTTTGAAATGGTTCTGTCATTACTCACAGTTAAGATATGTCCCTTGTAGGTTTTTTTAAACAATATAACTGAGAGCTTAATGAGTATCAAATAGATAGAAAAAAAATTATTTTTCTTAACTTCTTTGCAAAAATATTTTATAAAATATTCCTAAACATGAAAGATCTAATGAAAGGTAACTATAACCCTAGCAAGACAATAGAATTTTGTTTTTATATAAATCATCCAAAGTTCATATGAGGCCTTTCCCATGTTGTCTGTTAATAACCTCAGTAAAGTAATAGTGGGAATCTGAAGGGCATACAGAGATAAAGTAACTTTGTTTTAAATATAAGTGATAACCTTAAGATACATACAACAAATACACTTTGACCTAGAATTCCCAAATGTTATCAAAATATATTTCCTCACTCTCTTTTTAAAATTTTTTCTATATATATATAATTTCTATATATGTATATATAAATGTATATATGTATATGTGAAATTTAGATATGTGTATGTAAGTAGTTACTATTGTATATAAATAAATAAAAATATTTTCATCAAGTATTTACAAAACTACATTACTGAGTTGTAATTTACGTACCTTAAATGTAATTTTAATTTTATAGTTCTAATAATTAAGTTTAATTGTAAGTTTTAACCATGCCATTTAATGCCTTTTGGCAAGTATATATATCCATGTAACCAGTGTCACAATTGAGGTATAGAATGTTTTGGAGTGATGTGTATTATAATAGTAAGTTTCATAGATTTTACAATCTAATACCAAATATGTCTCTGGCAAAGAAATAATAATAAAAATATTTAGTGTAAAATGTAACTAATTAACATATAATTATATGTAATAAAATTATGTAAGACCCATAAGGGCAGAGATATTTTTTCAGATTTGTTCAGTGCCATATCTGCCAGTGACACGTTAGTTGCTCAATATATTTATACTGAATGGATAAACTAGAAATAAATGACTTACATTGATAGCTGTGTTTATTCAATTGTGCTATTTGTTATCTTTCAAATTTTTTAACATCTTCAATTATAATAGCAAAAAGAAACTAATTTCTTAAACATACCCTTTTTTCATGTTGTGTTGCAAAAAATAACAAGAAAAATATTAACTTTAACATAGTGCTCCACTAAATTTAATGCTTCATAATCATATACATTTTAACCTTTTTATCTCATCTAAATGTTATTCTTTTAACCTCATATCATTTACTGTTTTTTTAAAAAAATACAATTTATATCTAATTAATCAAAGCTATTTCCTTTGAAATGCTGCTTAAGTCATTTTAATGGTAATAGATACACTACCTTACATAACTGATACAAAATTGAAACATTGAAAACAATGCATAATTTAAAATCAATTACCCAACTACAGAATATTGACTAGATTAATTTTTCTCATATAGTAAAAATTATTAGATTGCACAGCAAACTTTATCACAGAGACATAAGTAATTGTCTTTGGTGATGGTAACATATTAAAAAGCAACACTTTAAACTGTTCTTAATATTACAAAAAAAGTTATTTTATTCATGGGCAGTTGCAGTTCTCCATGACAACAGTAATTTTCAATGCTTGAAAAATCTATTTGACATATTAGGGTCAGGAATTGTTACTACCAGCAACAGCAGGTGCTTCTAATTTCATGACAGCAGAAAAGGTCTCATTGATTATGATTGTTACAAAATTTTAGACAATAGATATTTTCATTCTTCTCATAAAGTAGCCTATTTCTTTCTTTTATAACCATTTTTTTCTCATAAAATTGCATTCTCTATTCTTTGCTGCAGCATATATTGTGGATAATTCTCTCCCATTTACCCTTGGCACTTCTCAAAGAGTTTGACTTTTCTGACAGCCATGTCATTGCTAAGCTTCATCACACCAGATTATGCTTGTCTTCCGGTTCCCACACAATTGTAATCTGAGTTCAAATGTTCACCTAACAACCTCCACCATTTCATGCTATACTATATGTTCATTGCTCTGAAGGGTATGCTTCACCAAGTTACTGTGCAATAGGAAGCAAAACTAAACAAGAATCATCAGAAAAATTAATAAAAGAGCATAATTATAGGTTGAATAGCAAAGAATGGCATGTTATATTCTAAAAGAAAGATAAAGACAAATAAACAACTACAGTAGCATGTGGTTTTAAAAAATCATAAAGGAAAATAATTGGCCAGGTGCAGTGGCTCACGCCTGTAATCCCAGCACTTTGGGAAGTCGAGGCCGGTGGACCACCTGAGGTCAGGAGTTCGAGACCAGCCTGGCCAACATGGTGAAACCCCGTCTGTACTAAAAATATAAAAATTTGCTGGATGTGGTAGCTCACACCTGTAATTCCAGCTATTTGGGAGGCAGAGACAGGAGAATCACTTGAACCTCTGCCCAGCTATTTGGGAGGCAGAGGTTGCAATGAGCCAAGAGTGAGCCATTGCACTTCAGCCTGGGCAACAGGAGCGAAACTGCATCTCAATAATAATAATAATAATAATAATAATAATAATAATAATAATAATTTATTTTAGACTGAAATACAATCCAACTTCTCTAGAAACTCTACCTGTGGTGTTTCAGAATAATTTTATTAGAAACATTTTAAAGATCATTCTCTATTCCTCAGTCAGTTACAGGCAAATTTAGAGGCATCCAACAATTGCAGTTAAACTTCACTGCACTGGGAAATCTCTTTAGGAGTGCAGATGTTTCCAGCGTTCATTTTCAGAATATATCCAGCTAAACAGATGAGTCAAATATCTGTCTAAAACTTCTACACTTAGTTGACAATTATACAGTTGATTAGTCTAATGAATAAAGTGAGCATTGATGGACACATAAAAAGCTCTTGAGGGTCAAGAGCAACAATAACAATGATCATACTAATAAAAATAAAATTAGTCCAAACCAACAATACTTTGTTATAGGCAGGTAACTGATACTAAAATGAATGTGGATTACACAGGAAGACAAAAAGACATTTTTTTAACTATTTAATATGAATCTCTACATTTCAAATATCATATGAAAGAAAGAAAGAGGGATATAAAAAGACAGAGAGATGTTCTGGTGCTCTGTTCCCTTATCTACATATCTATTTGGTCATCAGTCATTGATAAGGTGTGTTTCATTATGTAATATAAAATATAATTGATGAATATTCCAATGTACAACTACTTAAAGACTTATATACTTACTATGATTTGTCTTATTTTTTATGGAAAAAAAATCTATGGCCTTCCTAGTTGAGGAGAAGTGAAATTAATCTACATAATAAAGGGTTATAAGTAATGTACCAAATGTAAGAGTTTATTTTTTAGTATGAAATATATTATCAGGAAAAGAAAGCCTGCAGACCAATACATTTTGCCAAATAAATATCAATGTTCCTCATATAAGCAATTCAGGGTGAGCTTATTAGTGTCAAACTATTTTGACATATACCTTTACTTTAGAAGATAAAGTACATGATAATAGAGACCTCATTTATACCAACAGTAGAATTTCACACATAGTAGGTAGTGAATCCATTTTGTTGAGTGAATTAAAAAATTGAACAAATGTAGAAATAGTGTAAATACTTAGAAGAGAGAAACAATAAATAAGCTATAACTTGTTCCTTAAAGAAAAAGTTATACCAAAATATTATTTATTTTGTTTTAGACAAGATTATTGATACAAAGTTGTTTGTGTATAGAAAGAACAACCCCCAAGCTAGAAAATAGTACAATCAACTAATTTGTACATTTAACTAGATTTAAATCTTTGAAGACATATAATTAACGATTCGACCTGTACAAACTTTGCCTGTGATATTTACTGGTAGTCATTCTTTGACAGTATTCTATCAAGTTGTTTTATTATTACTGTAAATAATAACAAATGTAGGATTATCAAATATGTGGAAGAGTTATTATGAAGACTAGTACATTTATGTTTAAAGTTTTAAATAGACTAAAGATACGAAAGCCAAATTTAATATTAATAAAGTTAATGAGTTTAATTTAGAAAAACTTAGTCTTGCAGATTTAGTATGGGGAAGAACTGAATTCTTAGAAACTCATGTGAAAGGTAAGAGAGAAAATTTGGTTGTGCTGATGTCAAATAAGCAACATGAATATATGTGCAATATAATTCTAATGTAAGATAAGATTTTGTTAATTAATACATAATGCCTATATTACTTGTATACTTTTATTTTATATCTAGAACACTCATAATATTTACACCTGTGTGCATATAATCTCTTAGTCATATGCACACAAGTGTATATATTATAAATGTTTTCTACATGGAATCACTTGGCATTCAATCCTGAGGCTATTTGTCATGTTCTTTAGATTTTACACTTATCCTCTTTAATAAGTATATGGTATATTTGAGAAAAAGTCTAGGAAAAATTATGTTAGATTTCTATTATTTCTAATCATACTTTTCCAAATATATATTTAATTATTCATACTTCATTTGTTTGTAATGTTAAATTAAGTATACACAAATCTAAGCCAACTCAAATCATGGATAAACCACAATAAAACTTACTTCAAGGGAATTTTATTTTATTACCAAATGAAAAAGAAAAGCACTCAGTGAATTTGAAGTAAAATCAAGATGGTGTATTATTGTGGTAGTTAAAAAAAAAAAAAAGCTTCAACGAGGACAGATTGAGCTGGGAGTTCTAAAGCTGCTAAATGAAGGCAAATAATGTAGCTGAGAATTGACCATCCAACTTAACAAAATGGATGTCAGTTTCTGTGGACTGACAAGGACAGATGCTTGAGTTTTCAAACCAGAATGAGCAAAGAATGGAGAAATGGGCCAGTGTTGGAGATGGCCTTTTTTAAGGGAAGAAGTTAAGCATGTTTGTATGACGATTACATTGATTCAGGTCACAAGGAGGAAATCCATGATACAGGTGAGAAAGGAACATTGCCAGAGTTTATCCTTTAAAAACAAGAATGTTGGATCTTGTGCAAAAATAAAATGAAGGTATTTCTTTGAATAGGAACTTGGGCAATTCACTCATAGTAATACTTGAGAAGTAAGATACGAATGCAGATAAGAGGTGAAGTGTTAGACGTGATGGTAAGTCATTGGGAAACCCACTTCTAACTCCTGTTTCTTTCTATTGTGAAATAGGAAGCAACAATTTCAGCTGAGTAAGAGGATGGAAAAAGAGATGATGAAAGTTTGAAGCAAAGAAAAAAAGTATAAAATTATTATGGCGAGTAGCGTAGAAATAGACTAGGGAAATGTCATGTGATTATGACACTGTATCAACTTGAATCTGATAATTATAATTTTAAGGCATGTTCCTTAAGCATAGTCTCCTGTATATTAATTACACAGGCCACTTGCAGCTTCAGGGATTCAGACAATAAGTAGACAGCATTGGATTAAACAACATTTGTGCCAGAAAAAAAAGTATTTGTTGCATTGAATTAATTTATTAGTGCAAATTAATTTTAGCAAACTGTACAAAATATCTGAATATAAAATACCAAACTGTAGAAAATATCTGAGATCATATTTGCTCTATCAAGATATGTAGAATATAGAATATTAGTGAAAAAATACAAATAGAAGACTGTAGTGTGCTGTGGTGGCTAAGGAGGCACTAGCATATCAGTTGTGTGTATACACTGGATAGTGAAAAGTCTAGAATAAATTCTAGGTTCAAAACCATTCTGAGAACATGGATACTTTATTTAAATTCCCTAAGTCTTAGTTTCTTTAGTTGTTTATTTTAATTATAAGTTTGGTGCAATAATTTAATGAGATAACATACGCGAAATAGTTCACAATGTGTTTGCCGAGATTAAATGATCTATTACTTATAGTTTATTATGATTAGGATTATTTCCCCATAAACAATACCATTTGTTCTGCTCACTAGCCATTTTTCTTATATCATTGCCATATATTCCTCCAATCACCACTTATCTTCATGAGAGAATTGCATTGATTAACATTTCACCCATGATTTCATGATATACCACTAGCTGCCCCTTGCTCTTTTGACATTTCTAGCTCAATCCATCCTGGAGGAATTCAGATGTTATATCTTAATTGAGTAATAAAGGTTACAGGACTCTTTCCTGACTTGTCCATCCTAAAACATAAAATGTCACTTAAAGAAATTAATTTCTCAACAAACACAACCAGGTATAATTTTTCTATACATCTTGAAATACATGTATTTATTGCACAAGCTTATTCATTTATCTCATCTTACACAGATTTTTCACATTTGCACATTCAATAGGAAATTTAATTGCTTATTTTCAAACATAAAAATTTCATAACATACAGTTTTCAAATAAATTTTAGTAAAGTTATTATTTATAGAATGTAAATAAGTTTATCTATAAGTTAATAAAAATATTTATAATAATCTACCAACTGACAGCGACATTTTATAGATTCACCAAAGTTGATTATATTAACTTTAATTAAAGTTATTTTTCATATGAAGAATATTCTGAATAATTTAAATAATGTTAGGCAAGTTACTGAT
This sequence comes from Homo sapiens, assembly GCF_000001405.40. Lineage (NCBI taxonomy): Eukaryota > Metazoa > Chordata > Mammalia > Primates > Hominidae > Homo > Homo sapiens. The sequence continues at coordinate 163,537,158 of NC_000003.12, read as the reverse complement.
TTAAAATACAATGTTATTGATTTTTTAACAACTTATGAGACTGGATACATTTTAATTTATTTTATTTTTATTTAAAGAACATCTTTATTTATAAGATCTGGTGCCCTGTGATCTTCCAGGGGAATTTTATTCTAGCAGTTCTGCCCTAATCCAGCATCATACCTAAGAATGCGATTGCACATCATCCGCTCCCTGCTCAAGTGTACTGTGAGTGGAAGCAGGGTAACACTAGGCTTTAGCATTTGAAGTAGATATTGGCAAATGACTTTTTTCAGGAAGGGAAAGAAAAAAAGCAATAGGAGGATGATAAGAAGCAGGCAGATGCAGGTGAGATTTATTTTCAATCAGTAAAGCTGAGCACCACAGGTCAGATAAGGACAGATAGACCTTTCACCCAACCCTCTCAAAAAATGAAAGTAGATTAAAGCAAGTATACCCACAAGGTCAGGAATGCACATATTATTTCAGGGACAATAGACATGATTCCCTTCCCAGAAGATGTCCTACTGCTCCTTCCAGATTCTTGCAACAATTATTTTTTAGTGAAATATATAAGACCTTTTAAAACATTATGCTAGAAATAGAAAAGTTTAACCTTGAAAAGTCCCATTTTGAAAGCATCCTGTTTTAAATAGAAAGAATAGGCGCTGGAAGATGCTGCTATTACTGGAAACCAAACATTATGTGCAAAGGAAGAGATGTCACCTAGAAAAAAAATTACGTGAGCTTCATTATCTCACTTAGATCTTGTTTATTTCATCTGTGTGTTGACAAAAATGAATTGTTATAGAGGAATTTCTGGTCCCACCCAACTGCATTGAGGCTCATCTTCATGAAAACTCTGTCTATAAGCATCTCCAAAGTAATTAAACTATAATAAAGTGGCACCCTGGTGAAAATCTATAATGTTTACCAACTCTTTTTCCTGAGGGTACTTAAAATGCCTTATTAATTATGCAATTAAGAGCGACAAGTTGGCCAGACTCGTTGGCTCACGCCTGTAATCCTAGCACTTTGGGAGGCTGAGGCGGGTGGATCACGAGGTCAGAAATTTAAGACCAGCCTGACCAACATGATGAAACTCCATCTATACTAAAAATACAAAAAAAAAATAAATTAACCGGGTACAGTGGCAGGAGCCTGTAATCCCAGCTACTCAGGAGGCTGAGGCAGGAGGATCACTTGAACCCAGGTGGCAGAGGTTGCAGTGAGCCAAGATAGAGCCACTGCACTCCAGCCTGGGCAACAGAGTGAGACTCCACCAAAAAAAAAAAAAAAAAAAAAAAAGAGTGACAAGACTAAAATTAAGAAACACTTGGTATGTACTTCAAAACCATTAGGAGACTTACCCAGGACACTTTAAATCTCTAAAACTTTGTCTTCTAACATTTTGTTTCCTCTTTGATCTTGTGAATAGTCTTGATTTATAACCTTTTATTATGACAAATTTTGTAACTTAATTTTTGACCATTTCCTTAATACAGTACACTCATGCATAAATATGAGGTTCAAAAATAGTTCTGCTTTTTATGCTTCAAATTTGTCTTTCTCAAAACCCTTGACCTGATCAACATTGCATTTAACAAAATTTTTAGATACTTATTATTTTTTTGGTATTCAGCTTAATTTACTCATCTGTTGGTCTAACACCAATATGTCCAATACTCAAAATCCACAAAGTAAAACTGTTCTTGTTTTACATAAGTGGATTTATTTCTCTCCTAGAATAGAATTAATCATCCTGTTCTAAAGACATTTTATTCTTAATGTCTGTAAAAAATAAGGTATCTTCTTTATGGCCTTGTGGAATATAGCAGGAATCCCCAGTTTCTCAAGGTCTTGCTTCCCTGTGTATTTTCGATAAAGTAGATTACTCTCATCTGCATATTTGCATTAATAACATTGCACACATAAGAAGAAAACAAAAATATTTCACATTTGTGTGTTTTGAGTCTGAATATAGAACTTAACTGTTGAAATCTGTCAAAAGATAGCCTATGGCTCAGTGATATTGCAATTTGAAGGTACTCCAAATGGTAGATTCCTAATGAAAATATGCAAGCTCTTTCATTGCTTTGAATCCAGCACATAGTATGTCACCTCTATCTAGAACATGTCTTATATACAATGGGTGATCAGGAAATATTTGTAATGAGGTATTGAATAGATTGCAAGAACAAGTAAAACATTAAAAATTGGCTACAATACTCTGCATAGAGGAACCGATGTTATTTCAAAATATTTGTATCTGTAACTGCTCATAAGTTAAACGGCACTAGGGAATTTTTTTTTTTTTAAAAGGACTGGGTGTGGTGGCTCATGCCTGTAATCCCAGCAAGGCCGAAGTGGGCAAATCACTTGAGGTCAGGAGTTCGAGACCAGCCTGGGCAACATGGTAAAACCCCATCTCTACTAAAAATACAAAAACTTAGCCTGGTGTGGTGGTGGGCACCCGCAATCCCAGCTACTCAGGGGGCTGAGGCTGGAGAATCAACATTTGTCTATGTCCATACCCATTTCATCGTAAATGAGTTGTAAGCTAAACCTATACTCAGTCAAGCCTATACTCAGCTCCTTCCAGGATGCTGAACTCCATATCCTGGAAGGAACAGTACCAAAGAATTGGCAGATATTTGTTACAAACATCAGAGTAATTAATAAGTATTTTGAAGAAGATTTTTTTTTTTTTGAGATAAATTCTCACTCTGTCACCTAGGCTGGAGTGCAGTGGTGCAATCTCGGCTCACTGCAACCTCCCCTCCTGGGTTCAAGCTATTCTCCTGCCTCAGTCACTCGAGTAGCTGGAATTACAGGAACATGCCACTGTGCCCGGCTAATTTTTTTTATTTTTAGTGGAGACGAAGTTTCACCCTGTTGGCCAGGCTGGTCTTGAACTCCTGACCTCAAGTGATCCGCCCACCTCGCCCTCCCAAAGTGCTAGGATTACAGGTGTGAACCACCACACCTGGCCAATCGTGGTTGTTTTTAAGATTGTGGGCAGATATGGGTGCCCATATACATGTCTGCAAGGCACCTCAGGATGTGGAAAAAAAAACTAGAGTGAGGAGAAAAGTGTTGGAGTCCAACTCTTACAACCCCATAATGTTCATTTTGGCATGTCAGTGAATCCAAGTATTGTGTACTCACACAGGTATAATTTTCCAAGTTGGTAAATAGAACTTACTTCATTTATCAGGTTGTTAACTCAGTTTATGCTTCTAAAAGAAGATTCAAGTAGAGAAGGAAGCAAGAATTGAGTAAGCAAGAAATGTAGACTATGGTAAATATGCATCTAAAGGCAATTGTGATTAATACTATAACACATTAGAATTTCTTTATAATTCTAATCACATGTCAAAGATAATAATATTCAATTTTTTAAAAAACAATATACATTACATTTCGACCATCAGGCTTTTCCCCAAGCAACCCAATGTAAAAGCTACCAAGTTTAATTTACATGTCCTTTCCCAAAATATTCTTCTTCAACTCATCAGGGATTATCTCCTCCCTACCACCTGCATTCCTGGCCTCCCTTTCAGCCACTGTGGCCACATGATTTATTTGTCCATAGTGCTAGTTCTAAGGTGGCTGATGACAAAGGCTGGCTAATGTCAACTGACTGAGCCATCTGTCTACTTCAGGAGTCAGATGACTATGATCTACAGGCCTAATTTAGCTTATATCCTATTTTTTTACAGACCAGGAATTAAGAATGATTTTCATATTTTTAATGGCTTGTAAACAAACAAGCAACAAAAACAAATATGTGACAGGGATAATATGTAGCCTGAAAAACCTAAAATAGTTATCTGTCCATTACAGAAAATATTTGCTGACCTCTGGTCTACTAGATGCCCAGCACTTGTTCATTTGGGTATAGATAGAGAGATAGATAGATATTTGGACATTAATATGTGATATAAACATTTTCATACTTTCTGAGCACTTCCATATATTTGCACATGAAATTTTATCCTAGACTTTGTTTCCTCCAGTGTTCTAGGCTTTTGTCTTCTAGGCCCCTGACCAGGTTAGGCCATTTGCCACTTACTGAGAAAATATAAATATATATATATATATATATATATATATGTGTGTGTATATATATATATATATATGTGTATATATATATATATAGCCACTTACTGAGAATATATATGTGTATATATACATATATATATACATATATATATACACACATATATATATACACATATATATATATATTTTCTCACCTCAGGCCACGTCTTCTTACGTACAAAGTAGGTGACCAGGTGCACTGCTCTCAGCTCTGCCTGTTAGGAAGATTTCCCTCCTCTAATATCACTCAGGGCCATACTAGAATATGGTTGTGAGGCTGCTGCTATACTTTTTCAGCTTGCTCATCCATATTAGGCCAACCCACCCATAAACCTAGCTGGGGCTTTACATCCATCTTCAGCTACTCAGATGGACCACCCAATGTGGCAATAAGTCCAAGCCCTGGGAGGATAATGATACAAATGCATGGCAGTCTTGGCTACCAGCTCATGTAGCTTACGTGCCTCCTCCGGTCCTATTCATGCTTAATCTAAGTTGTACCATTTCCATCTGATGCTGGGCTCAGTAGACATTATGACTTGGCAGGCCATCAATACCCAGTCTATAATGGGTAATTATGATACAGGCTCATTCTGTCTAGACTGATTCCTCAGAGTTTCTTTTTTCTGTGACCTTTATTTTTCTTAACGCACAGGCCTTTTATATCGCAGGATGTCTTGTATTGATATTTTCACATGATTACATTTAGGTGATATAATTTAGGCAGGAATTCTACTAAAGTGATGTGTCCTTCTCAGTGTCGTATACAGGTATTGGGAGACAAGTGATATTGACTGGCTCTCAAATTAGTAATGTTAAAATATAATCACTTTGTTAAGGTTGCTACCATCATTTTTTAGCACTTCCTTAATTTCTCTGTGCATTAGGAAGATTTTTCCTCTCTAATATCTGTCAGGATACCAGCACTAGATGCAGCATTTTCTTAAAGAAGCCATGCTTCCTTTGAATGTGGAAGAGTATGTAAACATCACAATCTATATGCTAGGCACGATCAGGATTATTTTATTTCCTTCGTTGTAGGTCATCTCAACAGAAAAATTTAGAAAATATATGGGTATGTATTATCAGAAACTGTGGGTTCTGAGATTTTACTCTACTTGGAAACTAAGAAATTAGCCTGCACAGGTTCATAGATGCAGACAGAAGACCCAGAATTCCTGGATTTATTTCTCACAGCAGGAAGCACTTCCCCAGGGGGCTGATTTGTAGGTTGGTCCAGGTAGATGCTTCTCACACAGTAGATTTATGTCACCACTGAGGAAACTTGACTTCTGGGAAACCCCACCATTACAAAGGAGCTAAAAAGAAAGGTCTTAATTAAGAATCAGCAAAGACATTTTGGAAGACTAGACATTGTGAGATATGTCTTAAAGGGTAGTCAATATTTCTATATGTGTGGGGGAAATGTAATTAAGGAACTTCCCATCCTGCAATAACAAAATATAAAAGCATGGGGGAATGTAGGATCATAGAATATTTAGAAAGAGTGAGAAGTTTAGGATAGAAATGCAAACTGTAGAATAAGGTGGTTATAAATTATACTGAATGATACATGGAGACAAGATTTGTAGAAATTAGGATATTATTTTAATTAACAATTTGGAAACCTTTATTTCTATAAGCAGCTTTTTCCCTTTATTTTGTCTTTTTAAAATTTATTTTTTATTTTACTTTAATTTCTGGGATGCATGTGCAGAATGTGCAGGTTTGTTACATAGGTATACATGTACCATGTGGTTTGCTGCACCTATCAACCAGTCATCTAGGTTTTAAGCCCTGCAGGCATTAGGTATTTGAGGCTGGGGGGAAGGGGAGGGAGAGTATTTTTTTTTAAAACATTGAACTAATTCTCTGAAACAAATAGCACTGCTCTCTCAAACAAAATGAGTTATCTTCTAGTAATAAAATATTACTTTTCAGTTTGACTTGAACATCAATCTTGTATCAATACACCAATTAATGCTAGGTAACACTAAATAATGGTTTTTATTCTTTATATATAAATTTCTATTTATATTAGTTCCAATACATATACTTCCATATTTCTATCCTATATTCTATTTTCTTAATATTTACAAAACATATCATGCCCTTCATATGTTAATTAAAGTATTATCTATAAAAGCACATGAAAATGAATACCTCTGGATGTATTGCAGAAAGTTTCTTATCCTTGTTATCAGTAAAATTGCAAATAATTTTATAATTTAACTTTTTATTTAAAGTTTTTATGGATACATAGTAGTAGTACGTATTTATGGAGTACGTACGATATTTTGATACCTATATACAATGTGTAATAATCAAATCTAGGTAATTGAGATATCCATCCCCTCAAACATTTATCACTTCTTTGTGTTGAGAATATTTCAAAACTCTTTTAGCTATTTATAAATATACAATACATTATTTTTAACTATAGTTTTTCTATTGTGCTATCAAACACTAGAACATATTCCTTCTATCTAATTGAATTTTTTACTTATTAATAACACTTTTCATCTCCCACTCTCCACTACCCTTCCCAGACTTTGGTAACCACTATTCTATTTACTACCTCCATGAGATCAAGTTTTTAGCTCCCACATATAAATGAGAACATGCGATATTTGTCTTCCTGTGCCTGTCTCATTTCACTTAACACAGTATTTTCCAGCTCCATCTATGTTACTGCAAATGACAGAATTTCATTCTTTTTTATGGCTGAATAATATTCCATTCTGTACATATAGCACATTTCTTTATCCATTCATCCATTGATGGATGCTAAGATTGATTCAATTTCTTGGCAGTTGTAAATAGTGATGAAATAAACATGGAGATGCAAACATCTCTTTGATACACTGATTTCCTTTATCTTGAATTTATACACAGCAGTGGAATTGCTCAATCATGTGGTAGGTTTTTTTTTAGTTTTTAGAGGAACCTCCATATTGCTTTTTGAGGAACCTCCATATTGTTTTCCATAGTGACTGTACAACTTTACGTTTCCACCAACAGTATACAAACATTTTTGTCTTTTTCATAGAAGCCATTTTAACTGGAGTGAGATGATATCTCATTGTGGCTTCGATTTATATTTACTTGATGATTAGTGATGTTGAGCGTTTCTTCATATACCTATTGGTCATTTGTCTGTCTTCTTTTGAGAAGTGTATATTCAGATCTCTTGCCCAGTTTTTTAATTGGATACTTTTTTCTATTGAGTTTTTTTAAGTTCCTTATATATCCTAGTTATTAATATTTTGTTTGATGGATAGTTTGCAAATAATTTATCCCACTCTGTTGCTTGTGTTTTCACTTTGTCGATTATTTCCTTTGTTGTGCAGAACTTTTTAGCTCGATGCAACCCCATCAGTCAATTTTTGTTTTAGTTGTTTGTGCTTTTGAGGTCTCACTCAGAAAATCTTTGCCCAGACAAATTTCCTAAAGCATTTCTCCAATGTTTTCTTCCAGGAATTTCATGGTTTCAGGGCTCTCGCTTAATAATTGAATCCACTTTGATTTGATTTTTGTGTATGGTGAGAGATAAGGGTGTAGTTAATTTTTCAGCACATGGATACCCAGTTTTCCCAGCACCACTTACTGAGGAGACTGTCCTTCCTCCAATGTATGTTCCTGGTGCTTTTGTTGAAAATGAGTTCATTGTAGACGTGGATTTATTTCTGGATTATCTTTGCGAATCTACTGGTGTATTTGTTTTTATGCTTGGACCATACATTTTTGGTAACTATGGTTCTGTAACATAAGTTGAAATCAGGTAATGTGATGCCTTCAGCTGTATTCTTTTGCTCAGGTTTGCTTTTGCTATTTGAGGTCTTTTCATGGTTTCATATAAAATTTTGAATTATTTTTTCCATGAAGAATATTTAGATCTAGATTTGTTTTCATTATTGTAAATGGGATTGCTTTCTTTCTTTCTTTCTTTCTTTCTTTCTTTCTTTCTTTCTTTCTTTCTTTCTTTCTTTCTTTCTTTCTTTTTTTGAGATGGAGTTTTGCTCTGTAGCCCAGGTTGGAGTGCAGTGGCTTGATTTTGGCTCACTGCAACCTCTGCCTCCCAGGTTCAAACAATTCTCCTGCCGCAGCCTCCAGAGTAGCTGGGACTACAGGTGCACACCACTATGTCTGGCCAATTTTTGTAATTTTTGTATTTTTAGTAGAGACAAGGTTTCACTATGTTGGCCAGGCCTGCCTCAAACTCCTGACTTCAGGTGATCCACACGCCTTGGCCTCCCGAAGTGCTGGAATTACAGTTGTTAGCCACCAAGCCTGTCCTTTAATTTCTTCTTCAGATTGTTCTCTGATGGCATGTAGAAATGCTGCTGATTTTTGTAGATTGGTTTCATAGCATGCAAATTTACTAAATTCATTTATCAGCTTTAACGGGTCTTTTTTTGTAGGGTCTTTAGGTTTTTCTAAATAAAACATTACTTTAAAAATAAATTCTTAAAAAATATTTAATAAAAGAATGTCTATATTATGTGGTAATTATGTTTTTGTATTCAGTATTGTCAAGAAAAGTGCCTTACATACAAGTTATCATTGAACCATATTCCTCTAGTACTTAAAATATTATATGAGAAAAATGTTATTCATTACCAAACTGATTATCTTTTCTCCGAAACCTTTTCAATATAATTATTTATTACTGTTTGTGTTCAGTATCTTCTATGTTTACTTTAATTTATCTCAAACTGTGGTTATTTTTATAAACTCCCCTAAATTTTTTAGAGACTACGTTTGTCAATGTCCCTCAGCAATATTACATGTCAATAGATACATCTGTCCAAATGCTTTTCACGGTAAACCAAATTGTAAAAAAAAAAAAAAAAAAAAAAAAAAGTTATCTTTTTCTTTAAATATTGTTCAATTTCTTAAATCTCATTTCAGCTTCTTAAGACAGTAACACATGTATGCAAAACTCCATAAACAGCCATTATTTTTTTCCATAAACGCTTTTATTTGAAGGTTTTTTACACCTCTAAATTCATCCATCAGCTAATTATATGTCAAAAGAGGAAACTGTTGATTAAATTGGTTTACCTAACATAATGTGGATCATCTGGCAGTGAATTTTTAACATAGTGTGTTATAACAATAAATACAATTGACTAATCATTATTTCATGACACAAAACTTTTTGAGTGTTTGTTCACAAAGTCCTAACAATTGTTTTACCAATCTGAAATTACAACTTTTTCATTATGAAAGGAAACACATAAGGAACAAAGTGAAAATGCTCAGTGAAAGCAGGATACTTTCCTGAAACCATTGAGGAAATACATCCACAATGAATTACTAGGCTTTAATTTTAAACACTAGTGAAACTGAAATTGCTACTTTTATGATAGGTTCCTTGCAGCTTTCTATTTCCAGTGACAGCTATACTTCAGTAATCATGTAACTATTTGCTACTGCTATAAAGCTCTTACTTAGCCATGATCCCATGCTGCTTCAATTTTCTAGTACAAAATCAGATATAATATTTCTGTTCAGTCATTACAATATTCTTTTTAAGAATCCTAAGAATCAGAAAGTAGATAGGATTTAAAAGGGTACACCTAAGACATGGATTGTCTTTTTATTAAACAAAAATAATATGAAGCAATTTTAAATCCAATTATTTTATTATTCTATATTTTAAAGTTAACTGGCCATATTCCAACACTTTATAGCATATTTGAAGCAACTACTGAATTATTAAACATAATAATATCTCTATAGCATTTTATCTGCCATATTTCAATAAACTTCTAAACAGCAACATGAAACACTAGCTACGTTTTATTTGTGAAGGCATTAAATATTTGAATGAAATTCAATGTTGTATATTTCAGGCAGAAATTAAAATATATGTATATGTTTCTTTTCACAAAACTGCCTCAAATTGTGAAATGAAATAATCTTTAGAGAAACCAATATGTGAAACACCATAATTTGAGAAATTGATACATGATTAGATACAGAGATATTTATAAATCAAACAGTTTACTCAGTACACCTGTTGACAATTCAGCTAAATAATGTAAGGCACACCCTACAGTCTGGATAGCGGAGTGAAAGAAAACACGAGGAAAGTTTATGCAAACTAGGTTATTCTGGTGGCAGAGTCCTTCTATGATTAGACAGAGCCTCATCAAAGGTCCCAGGACTTGTGCCATTAAAAGATACAGGAACACAAATCATGCATTGAGTTACTGCTGTGGTCAAGTTACTGCTGTGGTATGGCCCCTCTTTTGTATACACATCTTTCACAATCTCTTGACTGCCACATCTAGGTTACTTTAATTTTTGCTCTCCCTGTTTGCGTCTTACTTTTCTCATTCTCCTTTCCTGTCTAGCTGTTATTCCACCTCTCATTTTTCATCCTCTTTTCCTCTCTCTCTCCTCCCCTCCCTTCCTCTCTTCCTTTCTTAGTTCTTTCTCCCTCCTTTTCTTGTTCTTTCCTGCCATTCTCCTTCCCCTCCCCTTCCCTCCCCTCCCCTCCCCTTCCCTTCCCTTTGCTTTCCTTCCGTCTCCTACCCTAATCTCCCAATAGCTATTTTCTGTCTTGCCGATGGAAAGTTACTTTCCCTACGTCATTTAAAGAAATCTTGAGCCTACTATAAGGGAAAGACAGTGATATTCTAGAAATATTAGAAACACCTTGTTTTGCACTGTTACACAGTCTTAACTGGGTTTGGATGATTGCATTGATCTTTTCATTTTGAATAACATACTCATTTTCTGTCTCTTTCTTCTTGCAATTCTTAATTTAAAAAAATACTGAGTGCCTTTGAATTTCCTCAACTCCAAGCTTATGAAAAATTATTGTTAACTGTGACCAACAACTGACTTTATTAATTTGTATATAGTCTCATTCTGTTGCCAAACTGCATATTACTAGCCAGTGAGTATAATTTTATAAACATTATTTGAAGAATTATGATGGACATTTAAAATGGACAGCTCATTTTCTTACATGAAAATATTATAAAATACAAGGTAACTCAGAGAGTGAGAAAAATTGTAATCATATTTTTATATGACCATGAACGTTTTCATTGAGGAGAAGAAACTGAACACAGCTTTACAAAGTGGGTAATAATTTGACAATAGTTAAGACAAATTATTTCGGGCCAGTTTGGAAAGTTAAAATCATGCGAATATTTACTTCTATGGACAAGCCTGAAGCAACAGAGAAAGAAGGAGTTCAATGTCATTAAAGCCTATGGCCAATTATGGAGATATTGAAATGTAAAACAGGTTTCGGCAAAAATTTCCAAGGAATTGACTTGTTTTTTTATTAATAAGAATAAATTTAATTAAAAAAACAATAAAAATGCTGGTTCATAAGAAAGGATAAAGCAATACTTTGTTAGTAAAATAAATGTAATGAATATATGTAGTTTGAAAAAATACGAAAGAAGCCAGAAAATCAGCTTCATTTCTACTTGGGACTCGGTCAAGTCATTGACCACTTTGAGGTTCAGTTTATTTAAGTCTAAAGTTGAAATGATGATAATAATGATAAATTCTAAATACCTTTTATGTGGAAATAATTAAAAGATCATGTATATTAACATACTTTCTATGTGAAACTATTAAAAAAAATAAGACACTATGTGGACAGGAGTTTCAATGGTCTAGAACAGCCATGTGGAACACAGAAAATACTAATCCTTCTTTATCCCCGAAACTTTTCCATAAATGAATAAAAATCAAAGAATGCAACATATAAATATTTGGGAATATGACCAGATGATTTGAAATCAAGACGCAAAATGGGACTTTTAAAAAACATATGTTTAACTTTGCTTACCACTGAACAAAATAAAGATTATATTGTGGGCTTTTTCTTCATATACTAAATTGGCAAAATCAGTAATGTACAAAATACTTGATATTGATAAGACTGTAGAGACCAAGGACTTACATTGCTTATAAAAAGAGTAAATTAATAAACCCTTTGTGTGGCATTTCAACATGTAAATGCATACACACTTAATGTCAGCAATTTCAACATTTAAACAATTGCACAAGAAAGTGTGGACTATCCTCTAGAATCCAGAATCTATTTAAAAGTGAGAAGGAGTTCTTTATTTCTTTCTTTGTAGCCATTAATATGTCTGTGTCAATTTTTTAACACAACAATATCAATTTAACAAACGGGGTGCTATAAAGATCTCTACGGTAATGTAAATTTTGTTTTCTTTTGATCTTGTTAATAGAATACATGCAGGATATTTTACCTCTTTTATTTTTACCTAATTCACTATGTGTTTATTTTCTCTGTGAATCCAGAATCCATAAATTGCACTTTATAGAAAATCATCTCTCTTCCTACTTTTATTACTGGTCATTTTGAAGCTCACTCTTGATTTTGATGAATTATGCTTAAAAGGAGAATAATTCTAGCACTAAGTTTAATTGCCCCACTCCCCACTTCCTACTCAATGGAAATAATATCACAGTTTCTGACAAGAAGTAATCATAAATTATGATATCAGTTGGCTTAATTATCATGACTATTATGTGCTGTGTTGCAAATTAGAGAAATTAATTTTAGAAACATGCTAAGTCTATCTTTAGTGTTTTCTTATATCTAAGTGTGAATAAAGATAAGATAGTATCCATGGATCAATTAAAAATAATTTATTAGGTATATCTGTTGTCTTCATTAAAAATCATCTATAATTTGAGAAATAATTCAAATCACAATCTTTTACTAGCTTCACAATGGACTTTCTAAAACCTGAGTTAAATAAATGAACAATAATTTGCTGCCTACTAAGTTACCGATTATTTTGCTTGCCCTTTTTCTAGTCACTTACTAAAAATAATCTATTTCATATTTATATATATATATATATTTTAAAAAGCAATCAGGTTTATTGAGGTATAATTTGCATTCAATAAAATCCCCCATTTTGAAGTGTATTGTTCTATAAATATTAATAACTGTATACAGTTTTGCAGTCTTGTGACCACAACCATAGTCAATATTTAAAATAGTTCCATTATCCCAAAAGTCTCCTTTTTATAGTTGCTCCTTTACCCCTAGTCTCTGGGGACCACTGATTCATTTTTACTGCTATAGTTTTGTGCTTTTTAAAATGTTAGGTGAATGGAATGAAACAATATGTAGCCTTTTGTTTCTGTCTTTTGCCATAATGCTTTTGAGATCCATCCACATTCTTTCGTGTATAAATAGTAGTTCCAAGAATAACTTCTAAAGAACTTTTAAAACAATGGTCCCTCTAGTAGATTAGAATTCAAAAATCCCCATAATGCAGTAGTCCTATATCTTACCAGCCAGCAGCGAGTTCTGTGCTTGTGCAATGTTATAACAAGCCTTACATTTTTGCTAATCTAGTTCAAGTATACTTCCATTACTTGCAACCAAAGAGTCCCAACTAATAATAAAATAAGCCATTGTTCAAGCAACTTCAGAGACTGCTAGAAGGGAAGGTAAGACTTACCCACCTTCAAAGTCATATTTATATTTTCATTCAACTTATACAGCTTTCATTCTTGCAATGAGCAAGACAAGGCAACCACCCTTACTGAAAAGAGAAGTAGCAGAAGAATAAATTACTTTTTCTTTTTAGTTCATATGAGACTTTAACACAGATTTTTTTTTTCAGGTCCCTGCTCTTTCTGAATATAACAGAGTTATCTGTATACCTTGAAAATAAGCAAGAAATTAGACATTGCTTTTCATGTATTTGCTTAGAAATTTTAAGGTACATTAAAATGGCATTCATTTGTATTAAGCACATATAGTAGATGCTTATGTACTCAGAAATTATAAAGACCAAGTATCCCCTAGAATTCCAACTGGTGGCAGCTGCATCCTTTGCCTGAAGGATTTTTCTGGCAGCTGGAACCCAATTTGTCCATGCAAGTGGCAAGTCAGAATTACTGTGGAATTAATAACATACTACCAACCAAATGACTGATAAAGAATGAATAAATAAATGCACTGCTCATTTGAGTGGCATTACTGAACAGTGTGTTCGATACTGGCTTTTAAAGGCTCTAGTGGGATCAAAGTTTTGTCACCTCCAGCAATAACTTGCTTAGTAAAGCAATTTTATTGATGACGATCCCTTCCTTCCCAATCACAATCTCATTTTTGTTTCCCGGTTTCCATGGCTTCTCTCTAAATTAAACTACTTTCACTTTCTTAAAAAAAACTACCAAAACAAACAAATAAACAAGATGCATGAAATATTGAAATATTTTTTATTCAGTTGTCAGAAAATTAATATGATTCAAGCTGACTACGGATTCTAAAAGTAAAATACTAGCAAAGTGCAGAAAATTAAAGGACATAAGAATGGTTAAGATAAACTTACCTAACCCAATTCATTAGTTCATTCTTTAAAAAATCTTTAAAATTTGTTAAGTATGAGTTTGCTGTAAAAAAGTACCAGATCATGACCTCGAGAGAAAACAAACAAACAAACAAACAAACAAAAATTGCTTCACATTATTATTTTTTTCCACATGATTATCACTGACTGGTATTTCTCTTTTATGTTCCCTTTTTTGAAGCCATGTGGAGAAATAGGAAGAAACTTTTTAGTAGAGTAGTTGGAGAAAATAGAGAAAACAATTTAGGGGTTACCAAGGGTTACCAAGAAGTGGCACAAGTTAGATTAAGTATTTTGATCTAAAGGTGGCCTTTAGAAAAGCCATTTTGTTAAGGCAAAACTTCATTTGAACTATATTTGAAAATAAATCATTTTTCACATCTGAAAAGTTTGTAATATCGAAGCTGATATTTCCTTGCTAAGATCTTTTTAAATAATTGATAGTGGATTCTTTTTATGACACAGGGTTTTATTTTGCTCCCTGTCACATATACCATTTCTTTTTTATAAATGTAGCGTACTGAGGACTTCAAATATCTAATTAAAATAATTTTAAACTATTCCTCTACCCTTATCTGTATACATATTTCTGCTTGTTTAAATTTGGGAACTTGTTTCATTTAACTTTTTAAGAAAGCAAAGATGCTGCCGTCTGAATGTTTGTGTTTCACAAAATTCACATATTGAAATCCTTTCCCCTAAGATGAGGGTATTAAGCCCATTTATGCCTAGTGTTCCCTTATTGGAATGCTAAGCTTGTGGGAGTTATTTATATCCTACTGCTCAAGGTCATTGCCAAGGTCTGATTTTTCACACACAAAAATTGCAACCTCCAGCATAAATGGGTTAGGAGATAGGGCCTTTTGGGAGATGATTAATTCACGAGAACAGAGCTCGTTCACTAATTCAATATTCCTATAAGTGTTCTTATAAAAGAGGCCCCAGAGAGCTGACTTGCCACTTGTACCACGTAAAGATGCAGTGAGAAGGGGCCCTCCATGAAACCGAAAACAGGCCCTCACAAGACACTGAACCTGCTGGCACCTTGATGCTGAACTTCCCAGCCTCAGAACTGTGAGATGTGAATTCTGTATTATAAGCTACTCAGTCTATGGTATTTTGTTATAGCAGTCCAAATGGAGTAAAACAAAGGAGAAATATTCAGTGATAACAATTTAGTAAGAGAAAGACAACAAAAATAACATTCAAGAATCTGAAATCCTGTGATGCTGACTCAGCTTTAGAACTGAGTTCGAGATCAACTGTTTTCCAAAGAGACATTGAAGATTTTTCTAAGTAATTGTATCTACCCCCAAAGACTAAAAGTGGTCTGAAAATACAAATTGTTGCACAGAGAGATGGTTCTATACTTGCCTGTAGAGAGCTTCATCTCTAGTTTGTGACCAACAAAAATGACATCTAAGAAAAAATTAGCCTTCTGACAATCTCAGTTTTCACCAGCCCCCAAAATTATCATTATGATATCTTCAATTGGAGAAAAAGCCATCTCTTTGGTTTCCTGAACTTTTAATCGATGAGTTGGATTATGAGTTATATAGGCCTTAATAAAGCAGTACATGGATTACCAAAAATTAAAATGAGGCAATAAAATATATATTTTTTGTAAATCAATACAGCAATATTTTTAAAAGAAGAGGAAAGAAAATGTGATTCAATAAGAAGAGAAAAAAACTAAAAGAAAAAGTGTAGCCATCAAATAATGGAAAAACAAATTGTTTTACAGCAGATGCCACAACTCCACAATTGATTAATGTACTCATATGAAAAAGAGAGAAAGTACAGTGTCTGCAAATAGCACTACTCACTTCTGTAAGCATAACAGAAACACCTGGGCAGACATTGTGATAATTTTTCTCTGGCTCATGAGAAAAACATCATTTATCCATGAAAGATAATGAAGGATATTTTTATAATTCTCTCTACACAGGAAAACTACTTAACAGTAATTATAATGATGCCCATTATTATTTTTCAATATTTGATAATTATATTCAGTTTCAAGAAATAAATGGAACTTATATCCCCATCTTTCAGCAATATTAAAAAATGCTAATTAAGGTTTTAGAGAAAAAATATACTTGCAGGAAAATGAAAAAAACATCTTTTGCTAAAGTAATAGAGGGTGGCTTACACTGTAGTATATTATACAGAGTTAGCAAATCAAATCTGTTCTCCTATCTGATCATGCAATAAATTCTAGATTTGTAATTCTTTCACAATCAATTTAATCATAGCGTTGTTACTTAAATAAGAAACACTCTTCAGTAAAGAACCATGGAAATTAAAATCTATATTTTGCTTCTCTGCATTCCATCTATTCTGGTCACACACAGACCTTTTCCATTAAACATGCCAAACCCTCCTCCCCACCCACCCCCCCCTTTTTTTTTTTTTTTTGTGGAGTCTCACTCTGTCACCCAGGCTGGAGTGCAGTGGCATGATCTAGGCTCACTGCAACCTCCACCTCCCAGGTTCCAGCAATTCTCCTGCTTCAGCCTCCTGAGTAGCTGAGATTGCAGGCACCCACCACCACACCAGGCTAATTTTTGTATTTTTAGTAGAGACGGGTTTCACTATGTTCAGCAGGCTGGTCTCGAACTCCTGACCTCAAGTGATCCACCCACCTCGCCCTCCCAAAGTGCTGGGATTAAAGGCATGAGCCACCATGCCAGCCCAAACTCCCTCCGACATAGAGTCATTTTATTTTTCCTCTTTTTTTCCTGCGATAATTTTTCCTGAGATACTAGTATGGCTGTTTTACTTCTTTCAGTTGTCTGGTCAATTTTCACCTCCTCATAGAATCTGTCACTTAATACTCCATCTAAAATAAACTTCATCTTTTCTGTAATCCATTGTCTTGCTCTCTTTTTCTTTGTAGAGCACACTACTATCTGCAATTTGTTAGTTATTTCATATTTGGCCTATTCTAGGGGCTGTCAAATAATGCTTTTGCTAATTTTTCCTCACTTTAAGAACCCTGAGTCTAGAAATACTTTGCATACTCAGGTCACTTGTATTTAAAAGTCATTATTATTATTTTTTTAAAAAGACATATTTGACCAGGGGCAGCGGCTCACACCTGTAATCCCAGAACTTTGGGAGGCCGAGGCGGGTGGATTACCTGAGGTCAGGAGTTCAGGACCAATCTAGCCAACATGGTGAAAACCTGTCTCTACTAAAAAATACAAAATTAGCCAGGTGTGGTGGCAGACACCTGTGATCCCAGCTACTTGGGAGGCTGAAACAGGAGAATTGCTTGAACTGGGGAGAAAGAGGTTGCAGTGAGCCTCGATTGTGCCATTGCACTCCAGTCTGAGTGACAAGAGGGAAACTCTGTCTCAAAAAAAAAAAAAAAAAAGACATATTTAACTGCCAGTTAGGACTTTTGATCATCAAGAAAAAAATCTCAGTTGCCAAACTAATTAATATACATACCCAGGTCAAATACAGGTGGAAGTTCTCATTTGCTTCAAAACAAGAAGTGGGTTTCAGCACTTGGCCTTGGCAAATCCTTTACCTTGTAGCCCTGAAGCCTGTGTGTGCCTGAGCACTGTGCAGCCAGGTAAATTGCCAGCTGAAGAGTGAAGTTCTCATGGTCTCCATGACAAAAGCAGGCATTTAAAGGTGGTATCAACAGCAGCCCCAGTTCAACTTTGAAAACACAGCCATGGTTAAAGAACTCACAGTGAGGTTCCAGGGAAGGCAGGTCAGCTGGGGGTCCTTGGGCCTGAATCCTAGGTGTGCCACTGATCCTAGATGACCTTGGGCTGACTCTTCTCTGGCGTGAGCATCACTTTTTCCGTCTGTTAAATGAGATAGTTTCGGTATTGGAGGTCCTTTAAGGAGCTAATGTTCTAGGAAGTTTTATGAACACTGACAGAGAATCAGGCTGCCCTAAGGGCCTTGGAAACCAGCTGACCCCACTTGCCCAAAGAATTTCTGAGGAAGCCTCTTGGCTCCCTCTTCAAGATGAGAACGGTTATTTGCCTGGGGCACTTTGCTTAAAAAAATTCTTTTCAAATGTATAGAAAAATAAATCTTCTCTAAGGTAAAAGAAAAAATTCCTCTGTAAATAAAGTTTTATTGAAACACAGCTACATTTAAACCAATACTTGGCTGGCTGTGGTGGCTAACACCTGTAATCCCAGCACTTTGGGAGGCCAAGGCGGGCAGATCACCTGAGCTCAGGAGTTTCAGACCAGCTTGGCCAACATGGGGAAACCCCATCACTACTGAAAATATCAACAAAACAAAACAAAAAAACTGCTGGGAATGGTGGTGCAGGCCTGTGATTCCAGCTGCTGGGAGTCTGAGGCACCAAAGTCGCTTGAACCAAGGAGACGGAGGTTGCAGTGAGCCAAGGTCGCACCACTGCATTCCAGCCTGGGTGACAGAGCTAGACCCTGTCTCAAAAAACAAACAAACAAAAACCTTCTTTTGGCTGATATCAGGCTATGAAGGCAGAGCTGAGTGTTGCAATAGACAATAAATAGACACAAATGCATTTTAGTGATTACTTCTGTGTGGTTCATATTTTTCAGAATTTTTTAAAATAAACTTTCATCATCAGTATTGCTCAGGAATATAGGAAATGTAAACCATAATTTTACAGTAGGATCATTGTATATGCTTAAGTTTATTTTGCTAGCCAGTTTTAGATAGATGAAAACATTTCATTTTTAATTCAATTTTTCTCTGAATTCTAAATATTGATGTATTGACATAATCTCAGCACCTAGGATTTTCCTATATCTCTTAGAGAAGAAAATCTTTCTAATGTTTGTGGTTAACCTAAGTGTCTAATATTTCAGTATCCATTTCTCCCTACTTTTTTATAGTTTAAGAGGAGTATTGTAATAAATTCTAGCAGTCACACTTTTGGGCCAGAAAGTTTGCATAATTTTATGGCTATTCTTGAGTATGTCATATTGCTTTGTACATAGTTTTACCAATTTATGAGATAATGGCATTGATAAGATCTATCATTATATTTTAAAGAATATTTTTAGAAAATAATGAAAAATATGGTCTCTGTAGGCCTGAATATATGAAGTGGTGGGTGTCATTTATTCATCCATTCACTCATTCATAATCATTTAAAAGTAATCCTTTAACAAATATTTAAGTTCCCCTACACTTTGCCAATTCTGGGCAATGTTCAGAAGGCACTGCCTTAAGTTGCTCAGAGAATAATGGACAATAAAAATGTGTAAATATGCATACATATATACATACACACACTCATATATATATGCATATATATGTATATACACACACACGGGCACACACACACACACTCCACGATAGTAGATTCCTCTGCAAGTAGAAGAAATACAGAAAATATATAGTTAGGGTACATAGGAAACACCAGGGCTGAAGCAGGGAAAGTTAAAAAGAGACAGACTGTAAAGAAATTGGAATAACATGCCCTGAGGTTTTTATTTCATTTGTAAACAATAAGAAGTAGAAGATTTTTAAGGAGGATGACAACAGAATTAGATTTGTGTTTTACAGTAAAGTATGGATAGGAGTAGAAGACATTAGTGGGAAGGCCTTGACTTTATACCCGATTCAAATAGTTTGTCTGGGGCTTAATAGAATTTCACTTTGATCTAAAATAACGATGGTTGATGAAAAGTGTGAGGAAAAGTTTCTTGGAAACATGGATGCTGCCTTAAACTTTTACACACAAAATGAAAGGAAAAAAAAGTAGCAAAAATAAAAGTGAGGGTGAGAGGTTAGGAAAGACTCCACCTGTGTCGAACTTTTTTATCCTTCTACTTTCCCTTCCTCCTTCTTGATAATGCCAACAGAATCTTATTTTCTCTATCTCTGTCCCTTTTTCTTTTTGTCTGCTCTAAGGCAAGAAGTTGAAACAACCTCAGAGTTGAGGTTGCTGCATTTATAAATACTGCTACTAAATCCGCTTGTACTTGTACTTGATGAGAACTAGAAACATTTAAAAAATGTTATATTACATTTTTTTCTAGTAGAAGAATGGTCAAATTACTTTTATTCATTTGGATACATGTTTGCTTTCTTCGTTTACATGAGATATAAAGTATTTCAACAATCAACCACAGAACAAAACACATTTAAATTTTGATGCAATTTCACACAAAAATATATACACTTAAAACAAAAACATTCAGTAGAGTATACTCTGGATAAATAAATTTTAAAAAATCTATTAGATTGGTGCAAAAGTAATTGCTGTTTTTGTCATTACTTTCAATGGCAAAAACCTCAATAATGTTTGCACCAACCTAATAAAGTGCAGGTTATTTTGTATATCTCATGTGGGATTCAAAAAGAAGCTTAGAAGTTACTTTACCTTAATATGTTATGATCTCCTAAGTTTTAAATAAGTAGATCTAGAAAAGTCATTCAGACTCCCATTTCAGCTTTGTCTTTTCTTAGGAATCCCTGCTGGATGCTGTCTGTTGTCCCGTTGCCTTACACATTATGGCTGCTTGGGATAGAACTCAGAGAAAAATTGAATTAAAAATGAAACTGTTTTCAAATATCTAAAACTGGCCAGAAAATTAACTTACACATAAACATATACAATGATCCTAACGTAAAATTATGGTTTATATTTTCTATATTCCTTATATAAATAGCATAATGGATATATATGTAGACTCTCTCATTATCTGAAAAAAAAGCCACTAGATATAGCACATGTGTCTTATAGTGAATTTAAAACAAAACTCAAATCTTAACTCATGTAGTTTAGGAAAATATTCAACTTTTAACACACGGTCTCAATACAGTCATTAGGCACTATTTCTTCCTATTATGATGGAGCAATTGGAACAAATATTGATGTATTGACATAATCTCAATATTGATATATTGACGTAATCTCAGCACCGAGGATTTTCGTATATCAAGTTTTGTTCTAATGGCCCATGATAATAGGCAGACATAATTCCTAACGTCTGGATTGAGACCATGTCTCAAAATTTAAATATTTTCCTAAACTACATGAGTTAAGATTTGAGTTTTGTTTTAAATTCACTGTAAGATACATGTGCTATAACTAGTGGCTTTTTTCAGATAATGAGAGAGCCTACATATATATATCCATTATGCTGTGTATATAGGCATAATAAGAGAGAGTAAGAAAGGGCAAACTATGTAAAGTGCTGAATAAAATCCGTGTGTGTGTGTGAAAGAATGTGATAATATTTTAACTATTTCATTTAGATGGAATTTTAGATTGTTTAAATCATATTGAATTATAATCACTATTTCCTAGGCCCATTATTTTATATGTCTCTTTATATATGTGAACAACTGTTTCTCTAGCATATATATTTAGGAATTACTGAATCAAAAGGCATGGGAATTTTAAATTCTATCAGACATATTAAGTTACTCATTAAAATACCTGTATCAATTTACATTCCCACCAGCAATGAATGTATAGCATACATTTTCTGTGCCCTACCTTAATACTGGGTTAATAGCATTTTCCATTTGCTCTAAAGTCTTCCTCTTTTTACTTCTTTAATTCTTATTCTGGATTAAATGTTTTATAATTTACACTTCTGTTATTTTAGTTATTAGCCTTAAGTTTGTAGTATATATTTTAAATGAGTCAAAATTTATTCATATGTTTATGCTAGTTCCAAATAAGATAACATATTTAACTTTTATTTGAAAAACTCCTTCATAAATTCTAAGTAGTTTGTCTAGCATTTTAATTAAAAAACAGTATTTAAATACATACAGAATTACTGTTATTTTCTTATCACAAAAATATTTTCTTGGTTGACCAAAATGGACTACTAATTTTGTCTTTTATTTTACTATATTATTTTGAATATTTTTCTCTCTTTTTGGTGCATTGTTTTTATTTCCATCTACCATTCTTGGGCTTAAACTTTTTCATTTAACAGGTTTCATAATATTAAAATTTCATAGTATTAAAAGTAAAACATATTTACTTTTCTGTTATTTTAGGTTGATTGATTTGTTTTATATAAGGGTCTAATTTCAATTTCTTTTTAGAATTTTTAGGCTATGACTCATTGCAGTTTGCTATCTATTGTTGTTAATAAGTAGTCTTCTCTCAATTTATAAGGTTTCTTTTTCTACAAGCTGATTCTTCCTCCATAATACTGCGGGAGCACTTAAGTGAACAGTGAATGCTAAAATAGAGAAGATAATTTACTAATCAGAATTATTTTCATCCAATAATTTGATGCAATTTTAGTTTTTACAAGAGCTCAATAATGATTACATACTTGCATAGTTTACATTTTCAAATTTCACATAAATCTGCCATTTGATAGTAAAGAATAATATGCCATAAAAAAAAGAAAAAGAATAAGAAAAATAGCAAAATTGATTTATTAACCTGTCCTAGCTTGGGTTTGCTCCCAAAGCAGAATCTGAATCTAGGAACTGCACTCAGCTAATTCATTTGAAGAACTGATGCCAATGATCAGAACTAGAAAGACTGGGAAAAATAAAACAGGGAAAGAGAAAAACCCCATTTAAGGGTGAAGAACGAGTTGGATATTTCTGCGCTAAAATGGACATCATTGTTGCTGGGACAGTCCAAGCGACTTTTTACCTTGCATCTCAGAAGTGTCCATCTGAGACACAAATGAAGCCTATACGTATCAATTGGCTTTTGCTGCTCATTGATCAAATTTTGTCCCAGAATTATTATATCCTTTCCACTTCCAAGTTTATACATGCAAAGAGTTCCCAAGTTTTAATAATTGAAAGGATTAAGCAGACACCACCGAGCATACTTGCGTTAAAGGTCATATTTGAAGACAAACAATATGGTCCAGTAAGAGAAAAAGAGTGCAGAAAGTATCAGATCCTGTAGACATTCCATGCACCAGCTCCGAGAGGCCTTATTCTCACACACACATAGACAGTGCTTTTTCTGCAGCTTGAACTACCAACTTCTGAGTGAAGAATCTTGGTTGCCAAAGAGCTCAAAGCAGAAGATCTAGTGAGGGTTTGCAGTACACCACCGGCCACTAAATCAAGAAAGCTGACCTAACTGATTAGGTTCATAGTAAACTACCAGTGAAGAAACTGATTTGGAGATCATCAGGAGAGTTTCAACTTTAAACTGCACATCATAAGTCTTGCACTTACCTTAGCTAAGAGTCAAAAACAGGATATCCTGGAATCCCCAGAAACAGAGATGAGGCTTTTTCAGCCCAGCTGTAAATCAGCTGTGTATCCACAGTGCATGTGGCAGAATGACTGTGCAGGCTTCTGCAGGCATCCACATGGTAGAGAGAAAGGCTGTCCAAGGCATAAAGCAAAAGATTTGAGATATAGCTGAGCAAGGAGTTTTAATGATAACTCTCAAGTATTATCTGTCGGTGTGCTGATGATCACAAAAGGTGGGGATAAGAATGTGTAAAATGAGGCATGAAAAATATTCAACACGTAGAAAAAGGATTCATTGTCTTTTATTGCAAGGGCCCTTAGATTATATTACTTGTATTTTATACATAAAAACTTAACATTTCTTAATAGATAGCTTTTTAGTTATCTTACAGAAACAGATCTGAAGGTGATAATGTATCACATCTTGCCAACATCACTGTACCATTTCCCAGTTTCTTGGAGAAATTTGTTTATTTATCTTTCACAAGAGTCTTATAACACCTCTCCAAACAAAAATAATATTAACATTAATATTAATAATGAAAGATAAATTTTGTTTTTAATGTAGGTTTATAATTAGAAGAAATAAGCATTCACTGATTATAACATATTTGTACAATTATAGTCTAGTCTCAATATGTACATAAGTTGGCAACTAGTAATAAAGAAATACCTTCAAATGAAAAATCATGATTAACACTTTGTACATTTCTTTGGGATCATCTATTAATATTTAGCATTTCCAGTCATATAGTATAGTTCTGAAATATGAGTAGCTTGAAAGTATTGGGATTATTATTTAAAGACAAAACTCAGTTGAATATTTCCAAAAACCCATTCTTATTAAACAAGCTGAGGATTATCAGAAGATGTTCAGCATCTCTCAGTGACTCTGAGTTGGAAAAAGAAAATCCAAAGTCTCTAAAAGCTTTTACAAAATTTAGAATAGTGATTTGGAGTGGCATGGATGAATTCACAAATATTATAAATATTAGAAACTTTTAGGAAAACATAATGCCTTTTTATATAGAAATTGTGGAAATAATACAACTTCATGTTTAAATATGGGATATAGATTTCACTTCTTAATTTGCGTAATTTACTCCTCCCACACAGAAAAAACAAATGTTTCCATCAATAAAGTCCACAATCCTTCATGAAGTTGACATGTTCTATGTTTTCGCTTTCCCTTTGGGAAAATCATATGCAAATATAATATATATTACAAGACTTATGCAAGTTAAAGTGGAAATATAATTGTTCAGTAAACAAATTATCTAAGTGAATTTATAAAGAAACAGGAACTTTACTTTCATGGCAGTCAAATCTCCCTTATAATCAGCCTACATAGGATACATTTTGAAAGCTGTATCATAATTATACAAATGTATACAAATGTAAATAAATAAAAGAATAATGTTAAATAATGTAAGAATACAAAATGCTAGGTTATAATATAAGAATATGATAAATAAGTAAAATTTGAGAGGAAACTACAGGAGGAATAATATTTTTTAATGGTTTCAGTGAATATGAAGAATTACAGAAAATAGTACGTATCAGCCAGGATTCAGTTAGGAGACTGAACTCATACAGTAATTTGAACAAAATACTTTTTAATTATTATATAATAGGTGATTGATTTTGAAAGGGTAAAGAACGCACAGGGTAATACTCTGGATCTGAGGGAGAATATTCAAAAATATATGAACTTGAAGAAGTATCTCCCTCAAGGTTGGAATTCAGACCTGGAAAGAGAAGGTCATAGGATGGAGGAGAAATTCACTGAGTTTTCCAACCATAACTGGTTCAAAGTCTGCTGGTCAAGATTGGCACACAAGAATCTACAGGCCAGGACTGATAAACTCAAAGCCTCTCATAGCAGAACCTGTGGGTTTAGGCTGGTGAGTAGGGAACCTTAGCTGGATCTGGCAAGGTAAAGACATCCTGGCGAGGTTCTGGTAGTCTAAGGCTGGTAAGTCAATTGCTGGGATAACTCTGAGGCTTATTGAGAGTTCATCCAAGGAGATGTCACTGAAACTGCTGGAGGTAAAGGCCACTGCTCATAGATACACAGAACAAGAAAGAAGAAAATAATTAAACACTGGAACCAGGAAAAAAAAGAGCCTTTCTTTCTTCTCTGTCCCTAGAGTGTTCTCAACTGCCAATATTTAGCATCAGTTACAAAAGAAAATGCTTACAGAGTCTCCATTTCACAAAGCAGTCAATGAAGAGTGAGTGGGATTGGAGCTTAGAATCAATAAATTGATAACTGGCACACACTAATCTTTGCTTTGATTTGATTTGAATAATTATATTTAATAAATAAATTCCATTGATCTTTTCTTTGAAATAAACTTTTAATATATCACTGAAAATAATTTAAATAATTATTATGTCCACACTTAAATATCAGGAATACAAATGTGTGTTAACTCTTATTCTCATGGCACAAAGTTGATAGAGGGACATTTTAGTAAATTTTACATTTACAATCATTACAACAAAAAGTATGATCAGGTAACTTAGAAAATATTAATTTACTTAAAATTATGCAATACAGAGTATTCAAATTATAAACACACTGATGTATAGTGGGAGAAGGCTAAAGAAAGGAAATCCTGGGCCCATATTATCAGGGTTTCTCTGGGCCACTGTCTGTTTACTGGGTTCCAAAAAGCTTGAACCAGGTAGATCTAAAGAGAACTTTTCTATTATTTAGATACAAATAATTAACTAATAATAGATATCCAATAACACCTGCCTATTCAAATTCTGTCATCAATATTACATACATACTGAACACCTGTGATCTGCCAGGCACTATGTATTATAAAGCAGGAGAAAATATTAAAAGTTTTAAATCTTTATTAGGGAGGAAAAAGTAAATACACATATATTCTATGTTTATTAATTAAAAAACTAGTAGCATAAAGTTGTAAAATATAATCAAATTAATGCATAATTTTAATGAAATTATAATGAAAATATCTTATTTAACTCAATAAGGAGATGCCAAAATATACAAACAAAAATAAAAACAAGAAATAATATCAAGACTTGCTCCTCCAGATAACAGGAACTATTACAAAAATATAGTAAGCAAGACACTGTTACTTGGCATATGAATAAAGTAATAGATACAATGAATATAACAAAGAACCCAGAAAAGACTCATATTTATTTTATTTGTTAATTTTCATATATGACTTATTTTAGATTTCAGATAATTGGGAAAAAATAAAATCTTAAAAAAATGTGCCAGATCATTTGGTTATTTATATGGAAAACAAACAAGCAGTTGAAAATTCCAAAATATGTATCTCAAATGGCCTGGTCAAAAATGTTTACATTTATAGATAAAATAATAGATTATCTGTATGCACCTGTGTTAGAAACAACTTTCTTAAATACAGAAAATCAATCATGAAGCATTTATGAAAAAGTCAAAAAATTTGAGCACTGTAGAAGAAATATTTTCATTCCTCAAAAGCCATTATTTAAAATGTAAAATCAGACCTCCTGTGATGGCTTACGCCTGTCATTCCAGCATTTTGGGAGGCTAAAGCGGGCAGATCACCTGAGGTTAGGAGTTCTAGACTAGCCTGGCTAAAATGGTGAAACCTTGTCTCTACTAAATGACAAAAATCAGCTGGGCATGCTGGTGGCGCACACCTGTAATCCAAGCTACCTGGGAGGCTGAGGCACAAGAATCACTTGAATCTGGGAGGCGGAGGGTGCAGTGAGCCGAAATGGTCCCACTGTATTACAACCTGGGCGACACAGTGAGATCTGTCTTGAAGAAAAAAAAAAAAAAGTGAAATCACGAGCCACAAATACCAAAAAAAAATCACCACACATATTTCTAAAGAGAGAGTACTATCAAGATTATGTAAATAACTTATGTAAATTAATAAGACAAATATAAACAACACAATAGAAATATTGATAAAGATTTAGAAAGCATGCCTTCACATAAAAGAAAATATAAGTGGTCACTACGTAGAGAAAAAGACATTCACCCATAACAGAAATTAGAAAAATGCAAAGGAAAGCTGAAATTGGACAGGGTTTGAAAGGTAACATACTGTCACAGACTAAAAATCTGAAAATACCGAGTGTTGGTAAAATGGCTAATTCAAATTAATTCTAACATACAATCTTGGTATGCTCTCCTTCTAAATAATGTGGAATTATCCAGTAAATTTGAGTATTTTCATAATCTACAATTTAACAATTCTAATATATGTTAGTCTGGATTCTCTAAAAGTTATGAAGACAAGATTAAATATGAATGGTTTTTATTAGGGCAAATATCTATGTGAGGGAAAACAAGGAGTCTTTGAGTCAACTTTAACCATCCATGGAATTCCACTTCTCTCAGAAATGGACCTGCATGATATCGCTGCTGCACTCCATCATTGTCTGGGAGCAGCCCAGGGAAAGTGTGGACTCCATGTTAACCCAGGGTGAGACTTCACAGAGCAGCTGCTTGGTCAAATACTTTTTCTATCATTAGAGGTCTACAGGATATTTTAACGACCACCACAGTACACAACTTGTGCCACTCTTTCTCCATATTGGTTTGTGGTACAGCATGTCCGTGGTTTCTATGTGCTATTTTGCTTGAATAAGGTTAGTGGGGTGAACTATGGCCCCCAACACTTCAGCTGATCTCTGCCCTGAAATTAGTACACATCTCCTCCAGCCACTATCCAGTCTAATTTATCTTTAAGCTTTCACTTAGGCAGGCCTACACATGCTGTGTCCCAAACTTTCATTGCTCAAACTTTGATCCTTCTATCCTTCTCAGATCAGGTTGCTGTATATGTTCATTCACACTTAAAAAATGGATCAAAGGAACATCAGGAGGCACCTAAGTGGATTACTTGGATTGCACATGTATTTCTTCCTCTTACCATTTTGTAAAAGCAGCTCAATCTCCTCCTGCTGATTAGACTCTGCATTATGGGGACTCTTCTTTTCATCTGCCAGTAAAGAGTCCAAAATATTTTGGCAGCAGCTGCAACTGGTAATTTACTGACATCCTCACTTTGTTAGTGGGAAAAAGTGCAGGTGTCTTGGGGAGTAGTATTTCCAAATACACAGAGCCAACGTTTGTGGGAATGGGAAGCACAAGTGCTCAGCTGAATCACTGGAAGTGATGGTAATTTGAGTCCTGTTTTACCTCTAGGGTGAAAGTCCCATATGGCCTTTTGTTTGAGAACATAGCTTCATATTGAAGTTTCTGTATAGTGCAGTACATAATCTGACTGGTAGATCCCACTGTTACGTGCTCATCTCACAAGTTCTTTGTGAAGTAGGGTCCCAGGTTGAAGAATATGCTATGGAGGATTTCTTGCTTATGTATCAGGTATTATATAAGCCTCCCAGAGTGAGAGGTGAGACCTTATTCATCTGCTTTAATAGTGCTTAAAGCATCAGTCACAGGGCTTTAGTCAGGTCTACTACTTGGTTAAGCATGTGGTCTTCTAGGTTAAGTCTGTGGACTTCTTCCCCCAGACCCACCTGTTTCTCCAGAAGGCAGACTGGTGAATAAATGGAAATATGGTAAGACTCTCTACACCTAGTATTTTTAAAAATGTATTTCAATTTAATTTTGCCTGATGTTTTCTTATGATTATTCTGGGGAAGAATAATAATAAGATGCCCTTATAATTTCATCCAATCAGGGAATACATGGTATCAATATGACATGATTTATGATACTAATTTTGATTAATAATTAATTAATGATTATCGCACTGGATAAGGTGATGTCTGCCAAGTTTCTCTACAGTAAATTTACTATTTTTCTATGTCCATACCCATTTCATTGTAAATGAGTTGTAAGTCAAGCCTGTACTCAGTGGGAAGAAAATTGAACTCCATATCCTGGAAGGAGCAATACCAAAGAAGCTGTAGACATTTGTTACAAACATCAGAGTAATTAATAATTATTTTGAAGAAGATTTTTTTCTTCTTGAGATGGAGTCTTTCTCTGTCGCTCAGGCTGCAGTGCAGTGGCACAATCTCAGATCACTGCAATCTCTGCCTTCCGGGTTCAAAAGCTATTCTCCTGCCTTAGCCTCCCAAGTAGCTGGGTTTACAGGCATGTGCCACCATGCCCAGCTAATTTTTGTATTTTTAATAGAGATGGGATTTCACCATGTTGGCCAGGCTGGTCTCAAACTCCTGACCTCAGGTGATCTGTGCACCTCAGGCTCCCAAAGTGCTGTATTACAGGCGTGAACCACTGTGCCCAGCCGAGGATAATTTGAATCTGCAAAAATATTTTGTTTCTCCTTAAATTTTTGCGTGTTAATTTTATCATTCAACTGTGGATGTATGTGAAGCACTTATTACTGTGGTGTCACTATGATCAACCTTTGTCTTCCCAAAGACTCATGCTGAAATTTAATTGCCAATATAATGGAATAAAGGGGGAAACTTTAAGGGGTAATTAGACCATGAAAACTCCACCTACATGGGTGGGTTTAATAACGTTAGAAAAAGGATTTCAGAATTACGCACTCTCTCACTTTCTCTCTTCCTCTCTGTCTCTATCTCTCTGCCCTTCTGCTCTCTGTCATGAGAATCTCCAGGCTTCCTCCCACCCAGAGAACACTGTGTGCAAGACACCATCCTGGAGGAAGAGAATAGCCCCACCAGACAAACCTCCTGGAGCCTTGGCCATAGAATTCCCAGCCTCCATAACTGTAAGCCAATACATTTATGTTATTTTAAAATCACCTAGTCTCAGTTACTTCATTATAGCAGCACAAACCAAAGTAAGGCAGGTATTAATAGGGATTTTCTATTTCCCACGTTACTTTTACCTTCACTACTTGGAATTCTTGGAGTAATATTTACTTGTCTCTAATATATTTAATTATTTATTATATAATTTTTTTTATTACTTCATGGTGGCAAACCACCACAAATTTAGCAGCTGAAAACAGCATACTTAATACCTCAGAGCTCTGAATGTCAGGAGTCTGGCAAGTTGCAGCTAGGTTTTCTGGTCAGAGGACCACAAGAGTGAAATCAGAGTGTTAGCCAGGCTGAATTTTCTTCTAGAGACATTTAAGAAAAGTTCACCTCCAAATTAATTCATCTTTTTTTAACAGAATCTAGTTCTATGTGGTTGTAGAATGAGGGTCTCCTATTTGCTGGCTACCAGGTGGAGGTTATTCTCATCTTCCAGTGACCAGTCTCAAATTCCACTGATGTTGCCCCCAGTAAGCAACTCACCACACCAATATGTTCTTTGATTTGAGCCAGATGGAAGAAGTATCTCAGACTTCTTGTCAGTGGCAAGTGGTTAAGAACTCTGCTTTTAAAGGGCTTATTTGATAAGGTCAGCCTCAAACACACATTGATCAGCCAAATGTGTACTTTTTTATTTGTTTTTTAATATTATATATATTGAGATGTGTTCTTTGTTCAATAGTTTCATGAGTAAAAAAAGTATAGCAATATGTATCCACTATTAAAGTATTATTCAGAATTGTTCTGCTGCCCTAACAAATTCCCTTTACATTACCTACTTAAATTCTCAGTTCCCACTGAATGCTGCAACCACTGATCTGTTTACTTTTACTGTCTCTGGAGTGTGCTGTTTTCCAAGTGTGATATAAATTGAGTCATATATAGTCTTTTAAGGCTGGCTTCTTTCATTTAACGTACACATTGAAGATTTATCTATGTCTTAACATGTCTTGAGAACTCATTCCTTTATATCACTGAATAGTAATCCATTGTATGACTATGTAACCAGTTACCTAATAAAGGATATTTTGGTTGTTTCCAGTTTTGATAATGATGCATAAAACTCCAGTCCACATTTGTGTGCTGTGTTTTGTGTCGACATAGGTTTTTGGATCAGTGTGTAAATGCTTTGGGGTGTGATTGCTTTGTCACGTTAAGACTATGTTTAATTCTGTGAGAAATTACCAAACATTATTCCAAAGACTATCAAATATTTTAACCATGGTAATTACCCATGTGCAATGAATAAAAGTTCTTCTATATTGTTCAGGTTTTTGGATTTTAGCCATTCAAATAAAAGTGCAGTGGTATTTCATTGCTGTTTCACTTTGCATTTTCCTAATGACAAGGGATATTCTGGACTGAATATTTTTGTCCTCCCAAAATTCATGCATGGAAACCCTAACCTCCAGTGTGATGGTATTTGGAAATGTAGCCTTTGGGAGGTAATTAGTATTAAATAAGGTCATGAGGGTGTGGCCCTAATGATGGGATTATGTCCTTCTAAGAAGAAACATCAGAAAGCTTGCTCTCTCTCTTTTTCCATCATGTCAGAACACAATGAGAAGGCAGCTGTCTGCAAGCCAGGAAGAGACTCCTCAGCAGAAAACTGGCAATCACCTTGATCTTGTACTTCACAGCCTCCAGAAGTGTGAGAAATAAATTTCTGTTGTTCAGGCCACCCAGTCTGTATTATTTTGATATAGCAGCCTTTCTTGACAAAGACAGATGTTGATTATCTTTTCAGATGCTTATATTTCCCTTGTGCATCTTTTTGAGTGAGTTATCTGTTTATATTATTTGCTAAAATTTTAATTTTAATTGAGTTAATTTCTTACTTTTGAGCCTTAAGGGTTTTGTGTGTATCATTTAGATATAATTCCTTCTCAGATACATGTTTTGCACTTAATTTCTATTATTTTGTGGCTTGACTTTTTATTCCACTAGTGTCTTTCACAAAGCAAATTGTTTTAGTTTTAATACAGTCCAACTTATGAATTATTTCTTTCATTGGCTATACTTTTGATGTTGAATCTGAAAACTCATCACCAAACCCAAGGTCATACAGATTTTCTCCTTTGTTTTATTCTGGATTTGTTATAGTGTTAAAATTTACAAGTAATCTGTGAGCATTTTGAGTAAACTTTTGTATAAAATATGAGGCTGTTTAGAAGTTAACATTTTTTACATATGGGCTTTCAAATATTTCAGGAAATGTTATTAAAAAGATTATTTCTTTTCTATTTAATTATCATCTCACCATGGTCAAAAATTAGTTTACTATGTTTGTGTACATCTATTCCTGTGCTTTCTATTCTGTTCCATTCATCTATGGGTTTATTCTTTGCTAATACAGTACTTTAATTACTTTAGATTTATAGTAATTCTATTTAGGTAGTATGAATCTTCCAATTCTCTAACTCTGTTCTTCTCTCTCTCTCTTTTTTGTAGACTTATTCCAGTTACTCAAGTTTTTTTTTTTTGCCTTTTTATGTTAACATTAAGTCTATCTGTGAATATCTACAACTAGTGGCTGAGATTTTTGACTGACATGACCTTGAATTTATAGTTCCAATTGGAAAAAAATTACTTCTTAACAAAATTTATTCTTCCAATGCAATAAAATGCATATAATTTAATTAATTTAGATCTTTTATTTATTTAATCAGAATTTTACATTTTTCCATATATAGATTCTATACATATTTTGTTAAATTTAGACCTAAAGACTTCATTGTGGCGGTGGTGTTGCTATGTAAATGTCATTCTTTTTAGATGTAAAACCACATTGTTAATGCAGGTATATAAGAAAACTATTTTTCTATATTCACCTTATATCATTCTCTCTCGTGAAACTCATTCTCAGTTTAGTAAAATTTCAGGTAATTATTTGAGGATTTCTCTTTCTTTTTTTTTTTTCTTTTTTGAGATGGAGGCTCCCTCTGTCACCCAGGCTGGAGTGCAGTGGCGCAATCTCGGCTCATTGCAAGCTCTGCCTCCCGAGTTCGCGCCATTCTCCTGCCTCAGCCTCCTGAATAGGTGGGACTACGGGCGCCCCCCACACCACGCCTGGCTAATTTTTTTTTTTTTTTTTTTTTTAGTAAAGGCGGGGTTTCACCGTGTTAGTCAGGATGGTCTCGATCTCCTGACCTCATTATCTGCCGCCTCGGCCTCCCAAAGTGCTGGGATTACAGGCATGAGCCACTGGGCCCGGCTATTTGAGGATTTCTGCATAAACAATTATATTATCCAGAAATAAGGTAAATAATGCGTTTTGTTTCTTGCTTTTTAATATGTACACATTTTTGTTCTTTTTTTCTTGTCTAATTTTAGCAGCTAAAACTTTCAATAGGAAGTTGAATAGTTGTGATAAGATAGGACATCCTAGCCTTGTTCTTTTTTGTTTGTTTTCATTTTTTCCATTTTATAAATATATGTATTATATGTATTATATATATAATATGTACATATCATGTTTTATACCACACATACACATATATCTCTGTGTGTGTGTGGTGTGAAACACTATTTTGATATACAAATATATAACAAAATGATTATTACAGTCAAGGGGATTAACACATCCATCTCCTCACATAGGTACCTGTGTGTGTGTGTGTGTACGTATGTGTGTATGTTAATAGCATTTGAAAACTATTTTCTTAGCATTGTTTTTGATCTTAGGAGAAAATCATTGTGTCTCACTATTAAGTATAATATTAGCTGTAGGCTTTTTGTAGATATTCTTTATCAAATTGAGGAAATTTCCTGTAACAGTTTGCTGAGAGTTTGTAACATTTATGGCTGTTTGATATTGATAACAGTTTCATTTGCTTCATTTTATATTATCATTTTTCTTGTTGAGCTTGTTGATACAGTGAATTATAAGGATTAAGTTTCAAATGTAGAATGAGATTTCCTTAGAAGTAATAAATGCCACGTGGCTATGGTATAAATATTGTTAAATGTGCTTTGTGTCTGTATTCATGAGAGATATTCAGCTGGCAGTTTTGGTTTCTTGAGATGACATTATTTGGTTTTGGTATTAGGGTAATCCTGACCTCACAGAATGAATTAGGAAGTGATCATTCTGGTTCTACTTTTTGGTAGAGATTATTGAAAATTACTATTACTTCTACTTTAATTCACTAGTGAAACCATCTTGACTTGGTTCTGTCTATTTAAGGTTGATTCAATTTATTTATCTATCTATTTTCAGACAAAGTCTTGCTCTGTCACCCAAGCTGTAGTGCAGCAGCACAATCATAGTTCACTGCAGCCTTAAAATTCTGGGCTTAAGCAATTCTCCTGCCTTAGCTTCCCAGTAGCTAGAGCTATAGGCACATACCACCGTACTGGGCTAATTTTTAAATTTTTTATAGAGATAGGGTCTCACTATATTGCTTATGCTGGAAATTATGTGTGTATATATATACATATATACACATATACATATATATACACATATACATATATACACATATACATATATACACATATACACATATACATATATACACATATACACATATATACACATATACACATATATACATATATACACACATATACACATATACACATATATACACATATACACATATACACATATATACATATATATATATACGTGTGTGTGTGTGTGTGTGTGTGTGTGTGTGTGTGATTAAATGGTATTTTTCTTCTCCCTTTTCTTTTTTTTCTTTGAGACGGAGTTTCGCTCTTGTTGCCCAGGCTGGAGTGCAATGGCATGATCTCTGCATACCACAACCTCTGCGTCCTGGAATCAAGCAACTCTCCTGCCTCAGCCTCCCAAGTAGCTGGGATTACAGGCATGCACCACCACACCGGCTAATTTTTATATTTTCAGTAGAGATGGGGTTTCTCCATGTTGGTCAGGCTGATCTTGAACTCCTGATCTCAGGTGATCTGCCCAACTCAGCCTCCCAAGGGGCTGGGATTACAGGCATGAGCCACCGCGCGTGGCCTTTTCTCCCTTCTTTTAACTTATCTATGTGTTGATATTTTAAATGGATTTATTGATACCAGGTGATACGGTTTGGATCTCTGTCCCTATCCAAATCTCCTGTTGAAATGTAATCCTCAACGCTGGAGTTGGGGCCTGGCGGAAGGTGACTGAATCAGACGGGTGATTTCTCATGGTTTAACACCATTCCCCTAGTGCTGTTCTTGTGACAGAATTCTCATGAGATCTGGCTGTTTAAAAGTGTGTATCACCTCCCCTCTCTCTCTTTATCCTGCTCCGGCCATGTGAGGTGCTTGCTTCCCCTTTGCCTTCCACCATGATTGAAAGTGTCCTGAGCGGCCCCCGACCAGAACTCAAGAAGAAGCTAACCTGCAGAACAGTGAGCTAATTAAACCATTTTTCTTTATAAATTACCCAGTCTCCAGCATTTCTTGATAGCAATGCAAGAACGGACTAATACAACAGTATATATTTGGGTATGGCTTACGAGAACTTACTTTACTATTATGCCCATCTATGTACTTAAAAAAAATCATACCATTCTGCTACCAGTTTACTATCTGTTCCCTTTATTCTTTGTTGTTCTTTTCCTATTTTGTGGCTTTCTCTGTGATTAATCAATTTTAACTATTTTATTTGTCTAATTTATTGGGTTATTATTTAAGCTTATTTTTAAAAATTCTCTGTGTGTGTGTGTGTCTTAGGATTTATAATATGTATTATAAAGTGGTCTGACACCTCCTTCAAATAATACGAAATTGCTGCACATGTAGAAGAACCTTACATTCCCAAATCATTCTTTTCTTCCCCTGTTGTCTGACATTTCCCTACACATACACTATATGTATTTCCCTACACATACACTATACGTATATGACATTTCCCTACACATACACATACACTATAAAAACATATCACAGTATATAGGCCGGGTGCGGTGGCTCTAAGGCCTGTAAACCCAGCACTTTGGGAGGCCGAGGCGGGCAGATCACCAAGTCAGGAAATCGAGACCATCCTGGCTAACACGGTGAAACCCCGCCTCTACTAAAAATACAAAAACTTAGCCGGGCACTGTGGCAGGCGCCTGTAGTCCCAGCTACTCCGGAGGCTGAGGTAGGAATGGCGTGAACCTGGGAGGCGGAGCTTGCAGTGAGCCGAGATCGCGCCACTGCACTCCAGCCTGGGCGACAGAGCGAGACTCCGTCTCAAACAACAACAAAAAAAGACAACAAAACAAAAAAACAAACCACATACACAAAAAAAAAATCACAGTATAATTTATGATATCTCTAGTAATGCATAGTTTATAACTCCCTATTTATGTTAGGGTCTTACCTCCCAGAGACTCTGCAAAGAGAATCTGTCTCCTGAAGTCTTCCTAGCTATGTTCCAACGTTATTTGTATTGAAAGCTTACAAGTTTATTAGCTTTGTGCTGGTGATTGGGTCGTTCTTTGATGGTCCAATTGGGTCTCAGTCTTCCTAGTGTGTCCAGAATTGGTGGGATTTTGGTCTCACTGACTTCAAGAATGAAGCCGGGGACCCTCGCGGTGAGTGTTACAGTTCCTAAAGGCAGCGTGTCCAGAGTTTGTTCCTTCTGATGTTCGGAGGTGTTCAGAGTTTCTTCCTTCTGGTGGGGTTCGTGGTCTCGCCGGCTCAGGAGTGAAGCTGCGGACCTTCGCGGTGAGTGTCACAGCTCTTAAGGAGGTGCATCTGGAGTTGTTCCTTCCTCCTGGTGGGTTTGTGGTGTCGCTGGCTTCAGGAGTGAAGCTGCAGAACTTCATCGTGAGTGTTACAGCTCATAAAGGCAGTGTGGACCCAAAGAGTGAGCAGCAGCAAGATTTATTGCAAAGAGTGAAACAATAAAGCTTCCACAGCGTGCAAGGGGACCCCAGAGGGTTGCCACTGGTGGCTCAGGCAGCCTGCTTTTATTCTTATCTGGCCCCACCCACATCCTGCTGATTGGTGCATTTTACAGAGAGCTGAGTAGTCTGTTTTGACAGGGTGCTGACTGGTGCATTTACAATCCCTGAGCTAGACACAAAGGTTCTCCATGTCCCCACTAGATTAGCTAGATATAGACTGTCCACACAGAGGTTCTCCAAGTCCCCACCAGAGTAGCTAGATACAGAGTGTCGATTGGTGCATTCACAAACCCTGAGCTAGACACAGGGTGCTGATTGGTGTGTTTACAAACCTTGAGCTAGAGACAGAGCGCTGATTCGTGTATTTACAATCCCTTAGCTAGACATAAAGGTTCTCCAAGTTCCCACTAGACTCAGGAGACCAGCTGGCTTCACCCAGTGGATCTCACACTGGGGCTGCAGGTGGAGCTGCCTGCAAGTCCCGGGCCATGCGCCTGCACTCCTCAGCCCTTGGGTGGTCGATGGGACTGGGCGCCGTGAAGCGGGGGCGGCGATCGTCGGGGAGGCTCCCTCCCGCACAGGAGCCCACGGAGGAGGGCGGGGAGGCTCAGTCATGGCGGGCTGCAGGTCCTGACCCCTGCCCCGCGGGAAGGCAGCTAAGGCCTGGCGAGAAATCGAGGGCAGCGCCCGTGGGCCGGCACTGCTGGGGGACCCAGCACACCCTCTGCAGCCGCTGGCCCAGGTGCTAAGCCGCTCATTGCCGGGGCCGGCAGGGCCTGCCGGCTGCTCCCAGTACGGGGCCGCCAAGCCCACGCCCACCCGGAACTCCAGCTGGCCCGCAGGCGCAGCGCGCAGCCTGGGTTCACGCTCGCGCCTCTCCCTCCACACCTCCCTGCAAGCTGAGGGAGCCAGCTCCGGCCTAGGCCAGCCCAGGAAGGGGCTCTCACAGTGCAGCGGCGGGCTGAAAGGCTCCTCAAGTGCCGCCAAAGTGGGAGCCCAGGCAGAGGAGGCGCCGAGAGCGACTGAGGGCTGCCAGCATGCTGTCACCTCTCACTAGGTACTGTAAACCTGTTTATCAAGTGTATGGCTTTCACGAATGTTACTGTTCCTCCACACATGTATCACTGTGCCAAGCACATATTCCTTCCCTTTTCCTGGATGAGGTGGATTTCTCTTCTGCACTGAGACTGTAACTTTTTGGGTTTTGTTTTGTTTTGCCCTTTTCTCTGTGGATTAAAGCTTTACTCCAAAAAACAGATGAGGAGATGAGTACAGGCAGAGTTTTTTATGGGCATATTATTTTGGAATATTTGTAATAAAAAATAATTTGTAGCAGATAAATGCTTTCTAGCCATTAAATGAAAAGCATATGTTACACTGCTAAGTATAAAGAGTATTTTATAAAGCTATAAATCTAGGAATTAATAAACAAGATAGTGTTTACTGCTAATGGTCAATTAGTATATTACTTTCCTCAGCCAGTTAAATGACTAAATCAAATGTAATTTAGATTGTTTCTTTTCATTCTTATAAAAAACTAATAGTCTCTAGAATTGAAAAGCAGTCAAGACATGAGTAAATTTTTTATACTTATACATTTTCACTTTTCATAGTATTTTAGTTAAAAATAAACAGTAACATAGATGATGAAAAAAACATGTTCCCCCGTGTTCTGGTGAAAGCCAAGACCCCAGTAATGCATTTTAGTACACATAAAATGTACATAAAATGTACATCTTGAGATATAACTTTATTTTTCATTATTTCAAGTCATTCACATTTCCTTTTTCCCTTTTTATAGACACAGAAAGGCAATTTACAAAATATTAAAAACCGATGCTATTCAAATTATTCTATTATTTATTCTGTTTACAAAGTGGGCTTCCATTATACATAATGAATTACTTCATATACAATGAAAGAAAGACAAATAGGTCACAGCAAAATGACACAGTATGTCAACAAAGGACACATTTTCAAAAAAGAGTTGAAGTAACTACATAAATATTTGACAGCTTAAAAAGCAATTGTATAAAGAACTTCTTTGGAGATTTTTTTTTACTCTTTGGACAACAAATTTTATCAAAATATTCAAAAATTAGAATAGACTTTCGCTTCTTCCTTTATGGGGGAAGAAGCATTGCTCTTTTTTAAAGCAACTTTAAAGTTAATAAAATAACAATTTAAAAGGTCAACTTATATATGTATCCAAATGCTTCCAGCAAATATCTTCACATGTTTTGGTGATCTTTTATGATTTGGGGTGATTATTGTTAAGCCTTACTCACAAACTAACAGTGCAAAAAGGGTAAAGAAACAACAACAAAAAAATGGTATGTTAACTATCACTGCAGTATTCTAAATAACAGAATAAAAAGGGAATTTTTGTTTTATCTAATAAGATTGGATGCCTACTTGAAAATGGAGAATTGGATGAACAAATACGTGTTCCTCTATCTTGCTCTAAAAGTCCAGCAATTTTACATTTTAATAAAGGCTTTTCTTTTTTTTTTTTTTCCAGAAAGCACACTACTTTTGCCTTGGGTGTCAGAAGACAGATGTTTATACTAAAGAATTGACAATGTTTTGCAAAATAACACATTAAATACTTTGATTCCTAGAGCAACTCATTTCCTTATGTGACAAGCAGAGATGAGAATACTTAACTTTTTTCTTAATAACAAGTCACTGTGTTGCTCATTTTTACAACTTTCTTCGTTGTGTGTTTTTGTAGAAACTTGATAGAGTTTTTTAGTGGTTGTTATGTAATATCACCATGAACAACTACTATTGTTAGGCAAACTCAAATAAGGCTAATGCTGAAATGGCAAAGTTGGATTTTTAGATTTAGCCAAGATCTGTTAAAAAATAATTTCACTGGAATAATGAAGCTGTACTTATTAAAATTTGAGATAATATATAAAATATGATATATATACTTAACTTCAAAGCATTTTACTAAACTTTTGTTTATATTTCTTTGCAATCTTTTATTTAATAAGAAACCAGATCTATCCTCCAAACACAATTTTTTAAATTATAAAACTCATTTAAAAAGGAAAGAATATGATTCCATTTACTTTTTCCATTTATCAGATCTTTACTGACCCCACAATTTTTCATAGTTTGATTACATAAATAATGTGACTAGACTTCCCTGAATTTAAAGCAGTAGAAGAGAAAGAGATTGAATTTTAAATATAGCATAAAATATATTTTCAGGGGCCATAATTCTCTTTGTGGGAGGATCAAAATCCATCTGTTTGATGATCCTCTCACTCTGTGTTCCAACTGAGCTATGAAGTCTGAAGCAATTAGCCTGAAATGTGGGAAATAGATGGCTAGGGCACCTAGCGACACGACACATGAAGCTAATGTAGAATGGACCCCTCCTAGGCATATCAAAAATACATAGAAATTCTCGGTAAAATGTTTTTAAAATAATCTTTCACAGTGGAAAAAGGAAAAAAATCTTAATTTCTAGAATTAAAGAGAAAAAGAGAAGATTATGAGATAAATAAAAGTAATGTCATAGCAGGCCAGGGTATCAGATATAGTTTAGGTTTCAGCACTATTTTTTTAATCTGAGTATTCTGGCCCATCAGAGATTACTGAAATCAATTTAGTCGGTTATGTCAGAAGAAAAAAATAAATATTAGAATTAGTCAAAATAAATTGCTTAAATTAGTCTCAGGGCATTAAATTAAATTATGTTGGGGTATTCTTGAATTAAATTATTATTGGGTAGAAGTTTAGTTTACTTTTTATTGCATGGGCTATTTTCTAATGGCGTTTATGCAATTAGAAGTTAACTTGTAGATTTTTATCTAGGATAGATGAAAATATCAGAAGTGCAGTAGATACAACAACCATAAAAGTTACTGTCTCTGTGTAGATCATTAATCAATTCTGTATATTACTCAGAGATCTTACCCTAATAGTTCTTTATACAATTTGTTATTCATAGTTTATTTTTCAAACTGTCATTTGAAACTGTCTTAGCGTTTTATTAGGTCTTTTATTAATAAGGCCAGTACAATCATTAAAACATGTTTATTTTTTATTTTAATGAGTGCCGTTGTTTGTCAACCTTTTGTAAATTATACTTAGCAGCATTTGTCAGAGTGAATCTTCTATGGTAAAGGTAAGTTTTGATTTTGGAAACGTGGTTGCGTGTGTGTGTGTGTGTGTGTGTCCTAGATTACATTATAAGTGAAAATTTCTTATGATTTCAAAGTTACTGTTCTAGAGTCTAGGCTTATATGATAATATTCACTAAAATATTTCTAAAATCTACTGGGAAATTTTGAGAACTAATCCCCTCGTCAAAGGCTAGAAGCATGAAAAAAACTACTTTCTGTGAAACTAGACTTAGAAAAATATCTTCCTAAACTGGCCAAAGAAAGCAGAAATGTAGTTTTTCATCCATCCAAGACATGATTAGGAAAATAAAAGTCACAAAAGAGAAATTTAAAACACAAACTTAATTTAAAAGACAGCATAGAGCATTCTAAATTTATGCTACTTGGTGATATAAGAAGTCCAAACATAGAAGTAAAAATAAAATTGCTTTGGTCCTGAAACCTGTTTTGCAAAAGCAAATTCCAAAACATTCTGTAGGTATAGATACATAACAGACTAACACACACAAGAAACAAAATTAATGTAGAATAGAAAAGCTAAAATAACACATTAAACAAATTATTTTAAAAGGAAGTTAATATAAAAACTAATTACAAAATCAATAAGCAGAGACCCCAGAACATTCTGAATGATATGGAATATATATATATATTTAAAGGAAAAAATAGACATCTGTATGAAATGAATTAACAGTGTAAAAATAAATCAAGAGATTTAACACTGTAAGTGGAGGCATTACTTTATGTTCAAAGTTTAGTTAGTTTGAAATAGGTATTTAAGAACCAAGTTCAGGAAACTAGTTTAGAAATTATTCAAGTGTGAATAAGAAAGCCTAGATTAATGTTTTGGGTACACATTGACAATGTGTGAAACCCTGAGAGCTTTAACCCTCCGTAGCTCATATTTCCTTTTACAAAAGGGAAATATTAATAAACCATAAAACTGTTGTGAGAATGTACTGTAACAAAAACCGAAACACAAAGTAGCATCCAATAGCATCAAAACTAATCTTAGCTATAAATATTATTACTAATACTGTCATCATCATTGAACTCTTCATGGAAGTTAATTCTGATACTTATGGAGATACTACCATTTACCTAGAGAAGGTAAATTATTTTGCACAGTGTTTGTCTTTGGCACGTAAGATGACATTTCTTGAAAGAATATGTTATCTGAAACTAATTTACACTTAGTACAAAACAGCTGCATCAAGGTATCATAAATTACAGCCAAATGTAATAAAAACAGCTACACAGACACAAAATATTTATATTATCTGCCTATATTAGTCCTAAATCAATTATTTAAAATGGGTGATTGGGGTGATTATGAATAAAATCTCTTCATATTTCTTTGTAACACAGACATGAATAGACCTGAGTCAAGGCATTTGTATAAGAATAAAATGTGAGTATAAATATAAAATTAGAACATTCATTACTAATTATTATTATTATTATTTTTTTGAGACGGAGTCTCATACTGTTGCCTAGGCTGGAGTGCAGTGGCTCGATCTCAGCCCACTGCAACCACCACCTCAGCATTCTCCTGCCTCAGCCTCCCGGGTAGCTGGGATTACAGGCGCCCAAGTAGCTGGGATTACAGGCACCCATCACCATGCCCAGCTGATTTTTTGTATTTTTAGTAGAGACAGAGTTTCACTATGTTGGCCAGGCTGGTCTCAAATGCCTGACCTCATGATCCACCCGCCTCAGCCTCCCAAAGTGCTGGGATCACAGGCGTGAGCCACTGTGCTTGGCCAAAATTGCTTTTTACTGTCAGTGTTTCTGTGGTTATCAGTGAATGATCTACAGAAGCACATATAAAAATATTTACCATCAGAAATTGGCACAAAGAAATTTTTCTAGGTATTATCAAGTGCTTTAAAAGGAATGCAAATAATTCTCTTCACTTTCTAATCAAAAAAATTGTATAAGATTCAGCCTTTATTATCCCCAGATTAATGATAAATCTGACACATCTCTTGTTTCTATAAATGTAAGGTCATTAATTTTAATGACTTTATTATTATTTTAAACTTTCTGGGGGATTTTTTTGTTTATTTGTTTCCTCTCAACTGTGTTCTCTTTCATTATTCTTTTCTAAATATTTTCACATTATGAAACTCAAGTTTCTTTTTGGTTGAATTTATTACTGAATTTTAGCATTTAGATACCTTGGTATTAGAACTGCCACAATCAGGACACAGAACAATTCATTCATCATTAATAACTCTATTATGCTATCCCTTCAACCCTGTCCTCTTGCAACCACTTTTCTGATCTCTGTCATTATAATTTTGGCTTTTTGAGAATGTTGAATAATAGGAAAATAAGATATGTAACTTTTGTGACTGACATCTTTTACTCAGCAAAATTCCTTTGAGATACATCCAAAACACTAGGTGTACTAAAACTATTTCTTTTTTAGTGCAGAATAGCATTCTTCTGTATACAAGAGTTTATTTATTCATTTACCTATTGGAGGCAGTTAGGGATATTTACCATGTGAGGAAATTATGAAGAGAACCAGAGTACAGTTAGAGGTGAGCGATTTCTGTTGCCACTAACTTTATACCACTTGTTGATCTAATTGCATGGTTCATAGTAGTATCTGACAGAAAAGGAAGTTATGCATTTACCATTGCTGTTCAAATAATCTGAAAATGTTCATAGACTGATGTAGGCCTGAACAATCTGTCATCTAGAAAAAACCACACAGACATTGAGATAAGGTATGCAATAAGAGGCCAGTCTTTATTGTTAAAAAGGAAGTGTAGTTTCAGCCAAAGTGCAGATTTTACACAAGGTGTTCTGTGCCAGACTAATTGTGTCATTATAGGTTGAAAGGCCCACAGAAATATAACCTGGAAGAATTCCACTCTAAAGATCAAGGATCCACATGTGAGTTTAGTACTGGGGAAAGTGGTATTCTTCAGAATTTCAGGAATCGCTAGAAACTAAGAACACCTGCACCAGTACCCTTGAAGCAAATGGGCAGAGTGATGGGCATGCCAGTGACTAAACAGAACAGATTAATAACCCTTGAGTTTTTGGAAATATTAAGTAAAAGGAATTCTGGAAAGAATGATTCTGAGAAGAAGAGTTTTAAGTAAATAAGTGTGTGTGTTGGGGGTTGACTCAAAGTAAGTGCTATCCAAACATTAAGA
The DNA here is from genome assembly GCF_000001405.40 of Homo sapiens. Lineage (NCBI taxonomy): Eukaryota > Metazoa > Chordata > Mammalia > Primates > Hominidae > Homo > Homo sapiens. Next base: position 163,492,588 of record NC_000003.12, on the reverse strand, counting down.
GGGAGTTTATTTTACAATCCTCACATTGCTGAGAGGATTCAAAGGGAAACAGGTATGTGTTACACCGCTACAATGAACTCATTTTTGACAAAGGTGCCAAGAACACACACTGGTGAAAAGACAGTCTCTTCAATAAATGGTGCTGAGAATACTGTATATCCACAGGCAAAAGACTGAAAGTACATATAGAAAAATCAAATCAGCATGGATTAAAGACTTAAATCTAAGACCTCAAACTATGGAACTACTACAACACACACACACACACACACACACACACAAAATGGAGAAACTCTCCAGGAAAAATTTTAGTCTTGGCAAAAATTTCCTGAGTAATACCACACAAGCACAGGCAATCAAAGTAAAAATTGACAAATGGGATCACATCAAGTTAAAAAGCTTCTGCACAGCAAAAGAAACAATAAAGGGAAGAGACAACCCACAGAATGGGAGGAAATATTTGCAAACTACCCATTTGATGAGGGATTAATAACCAGAGTATATGAGGAGCTCAAGAAGCTGTATAGGAAAGAAATATCATAATCCAATTTAAAAATGGTAAAATATTTGAATAGCCATTTCTCAAAACAAGATGTGCAAATGAGAAACAGGCATACGAAAATGTGCTCAACATCATTCATCATCAGAGTAGTGTATATCAAACTACAATGTGATACCATCTCACCCAGTTAAAATGGACTCTATACAAAAGACAGGCAATGACAAATGCTGGTGAGAATGTGGAGAAAAAGGAAAGCTTGTACAGTGCTGATGGGAGTGTAAATTAGTACAACAACTATGGAGAACAGTTTGGAAGTTAGTTAAAAAACTAAAAATAAAGCAATGATATGATCCAGGAATTTCACTCCTGGGTATATACTCAAAAGAAAGGAAATCAATATTTTGAAGAGATATTAGCACTCCCAAGTTTGTTGCAGCACTGTTCACAATTGCAAAAATTTGGAAGCAACCTAAGTGTTCACTAACAGATGAATAAAGAAAGAAAGTGTGGTAGATATACACAATACAGTACTGTTCAACCATAAAAAATGAGATTCTGTCGTTTGCAACAACATGGGTGGAACTGGAAGTCATTATGTTAAGTGAAATAAGCCAGACACAGAAAGACAAATATTGCATGTTCTCACTTATTTGGGGAATCTAAAAATCAAAATAATTTAACTCATACAAACAGAGAGTAAAATGATGGTTACCAGATGCTGGTAAGGTTAACTGGAGCAAGGTGGGTTTTGGAAGGTTAACAGGTACAAAAAAAAATAGTTAGAAAGAATGAATGAGACTTAGTATTTGATAGCACAACAAGGTGACTATAATCAAAATGTGTTAATTGTACCTTTTAAAATAATTAAAAGAGTACAGTTGGATTGTTTGTAGCACAAAGGATAAATACTTGAGGGAATGTATATGCCATTTCCCATAATGTGATTATTATGCATTGCGTGCCTGTATAAAAACATATCAGGTACTTTATAAATATATACACCTACAATATACCCATAAAATTAAAAATTAAATCGTAAAACAAATACGTATGTGTTAATATTTATATGCCTTTATGATAGAGACAGGAGGCAGCCAAATGCCCAGGCAGATAGGTGCGGGTACTTGGTGAAACCCCAACTCCAAACCAAAAAACTTTAAAGCCTGAAAACCAAGCTACAAGTTAAATCCTTGGACTGGACTGAGAACTTGTCTTCCTGTTTAGCATTGCTTTTTTCTGATTGACCCCCACCCTTCACCTATTTTAAATATACTTGCCCTTTTCTTATTGGTTTTCTATACTGTCATGCCAATCTTTGAGTAGTGTCTTTGCTTTAACCTTTTCTGCATACTCACAAACCAATCTCCATGCACTCACCATCCTGTGCTTATAAAGATCCCAGACTCAGTTAGTAGAGAAGGAGATGGCCTGACTTCAGGGAAGAGACAACCTGACTTTAGGAAAGACGACCTTCCCTTCCTGTCCCCTCTCCAGCTCCCCTCTCTGCTGAGAGCCATTTCATCACTCAATAAAAGTCTCCACCTTCACCATCCTTTAATCATCCATGTGACCTCATTCTTCTTGGACACAGGGCAAGAGCTCAGAACCCACCAAGTGCTGATACCCAGAAAGGCTGTCACACCAGTCCTTTGCCCTCACCAGCAGAGGGCAGCCAACCCACATGATGAGGCAAGGAGCCAACTCAGCAGCTAATAATACACTGCCATCTGTGGATGCTTGAACTAAAGGAGCACTGTAACACCTGCTCTGGGGCTTCAGGGTTGTGGGCATCCTCACCTGGGCACTGCTATGTTCTCCTCAAGACCACATGGCTGATCAGGCCACAGGCCCCACATGGAGTGTGCTCCTGTGTCAGTGCCTGGAGCAGCTGGCCAGATTCTGCACTTGCTCACTCATGTGCTCCCTCCCACAAAGGGTTGAGCACAGTGGGCTGAATAGTTGGGGCGCTCCTTTCATGATTCCGGCAAAGGGCCCTAGAGAAATCCTGCATCACTTAGGTCCTAGCACTATGACTTATTACCATACATTACACTTTGATTCATCATCAGATAAATAATCTTGTAAAAAAAGAAACCCTCTTGCAATGACAACCAAATAGGTCTAATTCAGATATAACCCAAAAATATACATTAGGCCGGACATGGTGGCTCATGTTTGTAATCTTAGGATTTTAGGAGGCTTAGGTGAGAGGATCTTTTGGGTCCTGGATTTCGAGTTTATAGTGAGGTGTGATTGTGTCAATACACACTAGCCTGGGTCACAGAGTGAGACCCTGTCTCTAAAAATATATAGAGATAGATATTCAGACATATATATTATTGAGCATGAGAGTTCTCCCTGCTGATTTTCCACCATTACATATGGTTATTGTCATCTATTAATGCTTTCAGTTTTCTATTGTTATTTAAGGATAAACTTGAACCATATTAGGAATAAAAGAAAAAAATTCTTATCTTTTGTATTTGAACTTTATAATTTTCTAAGGCAACTCAAATATTTTTGACAAAAAATAAACATAGTGACCACTTTCAGCAGGCACTGCTATGTTTTTTCAATTAATATCACAAATATATACCTAAATTTGTCAACAGATTCTGTGAAGTAGTTTATTCATTCCATATACATTTTTTTTTCCGTGAGGAATTATGATGTTGTGAAAGGAAAGTAAAATATGACAATTTTTGAAAAGAATTATGTTCACAAAATATAAACATTTTATCTATATCTATATTTCTCCATGACCAAAGTATATTTTCTGATTTCTTAGTGAAGATAAACATTTTATTTCTCCCATATAATCAATAAATTATTAGTAACAAAATGAAGTTACCATCTTAAGCTATCTGTTAGTACAAAAAAGAAAAATGTAAATTAGGAATATTTGGTGATTTTGAGATTAAGGTTTAGGGTTGTTGTGTCAGAATATTGTAGGCCACTTACATTGTTTTGTCTGGTCAAACTTCCTCATGAATACTGGCATGAAAACTGTCCTTTTGGTAAAATTTTTCTCCTGTCACTGACAGCATATATATCAAATAGGTGTTACCATATTCTTAAAAATCTCATCTATTTTAATAAAATCTAGACACTAACTAAAAGCATTCCTGGATTATTTAAATCAATATATTAAAAAACTTCCTTTAAGGAATAGGTATATGTGAAGTTCAGACCATTTAGTTTGTCATTATCACACATATTTATAAAAACTTCACCTGTAATGGAAACAAATAAAACAACCATTGATATAGTTTGGCTCTGGGTTCCCACCCAAATCTCATGTCAAATTGTAATCCCCAGTGTTGGGGGAGGGCCACGGTAGGAGGCAAATGGATCAAGGAGGTGGATTTCTCCCTTGCTGCTCTTGTGATAGTGACTGAGTTCTCATGAGATTTGGTTGTTTAAAAGTGTGTAGCACTTCCCCCTTCTTCCTCTTTCTCCTGCTCTTCCATATGAAGATGTGCCTACTTTCCTTTTGCCGTCTTCCATGATTATAAGTTTCCTGAGGCCTACCCTGCCATCCCAGCCATGCCACTAGTATAGCGTGCAGAAATGTGAGTTAATTAAACAGCTTTTCTCCATAAATTATCTGGTCTTAGGAATGTCTTTATAGCAATATGAAAATGGACTAATACAACCGTGTTGAAAAAAAGCAGAGATTTAAACAAGAAGAGAGAGCTCTGATGGTTTTCAATTTCATGGTATCCATTTTCATTGAAGAGTAGCTCTCTCCATGTTCTTCACTAAGATTTATCCTTTTATCTTTCTTATGAGAGATTCTAGCATCCTTTCCAAACTGATACCACATATATATTAGATAACATTTCAGTTCAATACCTTGCATTCAAAATAATTAAGACTGTTATAAAATTATAAGTTCATGTCTTAAGAATCCATTTTATCAGACCTGGCATGGTGGTTCACACCTGTAATGCCAGCACTCTGGGAGGCTGAGGCGGGCAGATCACGAGGTCAGGAGTTCGAGACCATCCTGGCTAACACGGTGAAACCCTGTCTCTACTAAAAATACAAAAAATAGCCCGGTGTGGTGGCGGGCACCTGTAGTCCCAGCTACTCGGGAGGCTGAGGCAGGAGAATGACGTGAACCTGGGAGGCGGAGCTTACAGTGAGCCGAGATCACGCCACTGCACTCCAGCCTGGGCGACAGAGCAAGACTCCATCTCAAAAAAATAAAAAAATAAATAATCTGTTTTATCAGTGTTATATGTATGGCATTATGTACTTTTAATATTCATTCTGTGAAAAATAAGATATTTCCCAGAGTTATGCTCATTTAAATACACCAACTCACTCGGAGATGAGTGAATTAAGATAACAAAATCCTTTTTGCATTTGTAAATGCTAACATTTCCTAACATGAGAGGCTGGATTAATAGTCTTTTGGCCTTTGTATTATAGAAATAGATTCTATAATCTACGTTTTATTTGAAGAACAGTAATTTGAAGTTTAATATTTTTACTTTAAATGATACACCCTCCAATGCATTTGTTATTAATATTTGAATACTGTTTGAAGTTGGTGGCAAGCAATTGTTTTCTGTAAGAATAACACTAGATTTATTGTATTATATGAAAAGATTATTTTATAGTAGTCACCGAAGTTAGAATTAGCCTATAATATCCTTGCATCATCAGTTGGTGCATTAAGATTCTTTAGCAAATATTCCACCTTTCATTACAGGAAAATAAAAACATATGTTACACTTCAGCAGTTTTACAAATGCTGAAGTGCTTAAGAGCTAATGGTAGATTTGCACTAGCTCGTGTGACCCACTAAAAAGCGTTTTCAGGCTAATGATCTGAAGAGTAAACATATGTCAACATAAAATCATTGGTTTCTTACTTGAGTTAAAAGATTCTTTCTTAGACAAACTATTTAAACTTTATAGTACAAAATGAATAAAATATTTTGTCTGATATTTTTATTAAACAAATCTTGAGAAATACTTTAGGTCCCATAAACTTAATTTTGATTATTATTGGTCTTACTATTAAATGTTTCAAGTTGCCTACATCACTTTTTTACTTTTTTTAGAAGCATGTGGAGAAACATTTGGTTTCTCTGAATTGAACCCTCTCTGGGAATTTTATACTTTTAAGTTAGAATTGTATATCGTAATCTAACTCATAGATACACATATTTTTACTCAAAATAATATAGCTATATCAGAAGATATAAAAAGTGAATATAATTATTTTTATTTTCCTTTAACTTTTTTCATTATAATGTTTATGCAAAAAATAAACATAATGAGAACAGTAATAAGATTAAACACAATTTCTAATTTTTGTACTTGGGCTATCTTGGTATGACAATTACTAGTAATTGCACAGATATATGTAAACAAACTAGTTATGGTTTTAGGGCAAAGCATCATTATTCACATGTCAAGCACAATATCAGCATTTTTCTCTACTTCAGTGTTTTAATTTAAATATACAGTGAGAAGAGTTTATCATCTGAGGCCAAGGAATGCTAAATATGAATTTTCTGTAACTTATCAGGCCTAAAATTACCATAACATTTTTAATGTATTAATACATATTTAGTAAACTCTTTCTGAAAAGAGTAATATCTGTAGGCAAGTATCATGTAAGGCAGTCCTGTTGCAGATATCTCAAAGACAAAATTATTTAAAATATTTAAGGACTCTTAAGTGTTAGCATCTCTTCTCATCAAATCCCAATAAACTATTGAATTATAGTAGCCACAAAAAGCCAGACTGTGCTTGAGGGTCATTTTCCTAGTCCAGATGTCAAAGGCATGTGAGCCCTATTTGGGCAAATAACTAGAGCTGGTAACTATGGCTAATAACATAAATCATAAAATCAGGGATTACATACAAAGTTGTTATTCTGTAAGAACTAGGCAATGAAATAATAAGATGGCAAGTTTGATGTGATTTTTTTTTAATGTACTGCTTTTTATTTTATTATTATTATACTTTAAGTTTTAGGGTACATGTGCACAATGTGCAGGTTAGTTACATATGTATACATGTGCCATGCTGGTGTGCTGCACCCATTAACTGGTCATTTAGCATTAGGTATATCTCCTAAAGCTATCCCTCCCCCCTCCTCCCACCCCACAACAGTCCCCAGAGTGTGATGTTCCCCTTCCTGTGTCCATGTGTTCTCATTGTTCAATTCCCACCTATGAGTGAGAATATACGGTGTTTGGTTTTTTGTTCTTGTGATAGTTTACTGAGAATGATGATTTCCAATTTCATCCATGTCCCTACGAAGGACATGAACTCATCATTTTTTATGGCTGCATAGTATTCCATGGTGTATATGTGCCACATTTTCTTAATCCAGTCTATCATTGTTGGACATTTGGGTTGGTTCCAAGTCTTTGCTATTGTCAATAGTGCCGCAATAAACATACATGTGCATGTGTCTTTATAGCAGCATGATTTATAGTCCTTTGGCTATATACCCAGTAATGGGATGGCTGGGTCAAATGGTATTTCCAGTTCTAGATCCCTGAGGAATCGCCACACTGACTTCCACAATGGTTGAACTAGTTTACAGTCCCACCAACAGTGTAAAAGTGTTCCTATTTTTCCACATCCTCTCCAGCACCTGTTGTTTCTTGACTTTTTAATGATTGCCATTCTAACTGGTGTGAGATGGTATCTCATTGTGGTTCTGATTTGCATTTCTCTGATGGCCAGTGATGATGAGCATTTTTTCATGTGTTTTTTGGCTGCATAAATGTCTTCTTTTGAGAATTGTCTGTTCATGTCCTTTGCCTACTTTTTGATGGGGTTGTTTGTTTTTTCTTGTAAATTTGTTTGAGTTCATTGTAGATTCTGGATATTAGCCCTTTGTCAGATGAGTAGGTTGTGAAAATTTTCTCCCATTTTGTAGGTTTCCTGTTCACTCTGATGGTAGTTTCTTTTGCTGTGCAGAAGCTCTTTAGTTTAATTAGATCCCATTTGTCAATTTTGTCTTTTGTTTTTTTGCTTTTGGTGTTTTAGACATGAAGTCTTTGCCCATGCCTATGTCCTGAAGGGTAATGCCTAGGTTTTCTTCTAGGGTTTTTATGGTTTTAGGTCTAAGATTTAAGTCTTTAAACCATCTTGAATTAATTTTTGTATAAGGTGTAAGGAAGGGATCCAGTTTCAGCTTTCTACATATGGCTAGCCAGTTTTCCCAGCACCACTTATTAAATAGGGAATCCTTTCCCCATTGCTTGTTTTTCTTAGGTTTGTCAAAGATTAGATATTTGTAGATATGCGGCGTTGTTTCTGAGGGCTCTGTTCTGTTCCATTTGTCTATATCTCTGTTTTGGTACCAGTACCATGCTGTTTTGGTTACTGTAGCCTTGTAGTATAGTTTGAAGTCAGGTAGCATGATGCCTCCAGCTTTGTTCTTTTGGCTTAGGATTGACTCAGTGATGCGGGCTCTTTTTTGGTTCCATATGAACTTTAAAGTAGTTTTTTCCAATTCTGTGAAGAAAGTCATTGGTAGCTTGATGGGGATGGCATTGAATCTATAAATTACCTTGGGCAGTATGGCCATTTTCACCATATTGATTCTTCCTACCCATGAGCATGGAATGTTCTTCCATTTGTTTGTATCCTCTTTTATTTCCTTGAGCAGTGGTTTGTAGATCTCCTTGAAGAGGTCCTTCACGTCCCTTGTAAGTTGGATTCCTAGGTATTTTATTCTCTTTGAAGCAATTGTGAATGGGAGTTCACTCATGATTTGGCTCTCCGTTTGTCTGTTATTGGTGTATAAGAATGCTTGTGATTTTTGTACATTGATTTTGTATCCTGAGACTTTGCTGAAGTTGCTTATCAGCTTAAGGAGATTTTGGGCTGAGACAATGGGGTTTTCTAGATACAGAATCATGTCATCTGCAAACAGGGACAATTTGACTTCCTCTTTTCCTAATTGAATACCCTTTATTTCCTTCTCCTGCCTAATTGCCCTGGCCAGAACTTCCAACACTATGTTGAATAGGAGTGGTGAGAGAGGGCATCCCTGTCTTGTGCCAGTTTTCAAAGGGAATGCTTCCAGTTTTTGCCCATTCAGTATGATATTGGCTGTGGGTTTGTCATAGATAGCTCTTATAATATATTGAATTGAATGTCCAGGACACAGATTATAAAATTGAAAGAAGCCAGATAAAATAGAAAATCGTATTGAAACTATTACAATAACTATGGTCCATGGTCTCGTCTGGCATATTTGAAGTACTTTATCATTGACCTCAACTGTTGCCATCTCTGTGCTGCTCCATAATTAATAAATATATTTTAAAATAAGAATAATTTTTTATATACCTTTTTCTAGAAAATCAATTATATGTTGACTTATAGCTTACCTGATTCTTAGAAAAATAAAAACTGAGATTTAGAGTAAAATGAAGACAATGAAAAACTAGAAATCACTGATTATTGATGAACGTAGTATGAAGCAGAACATGTGAAGGAATGACCTGTAATTTCAGCAATACAAAAAAATAATGTGTAAAGCATATTCTTTCATTTAATAAATATGTATTAATAATCTCCTTTGTGATAGGTACAAAAAGTCCAGATACTCCAAGAGCTAAAACACTTCTGGAAGAACCTCATCCAGGATATGTATTTATGTTCTTCTGTGGCTAAAATTCTACAGAAATAACATTATGTGTAAATGTCAGGAGTTAATTACGTCATATTAGAATAGTATCTAAACACAGAAGGACAGAAAAATTATGCCTCTGTCTATTCTAAAGTATTTGGAATACAAAAACCTTCCCACTGAAAACAAATATAAAGTGTAGACAAAAATATTTGAAAGAAACCAATACCAAAAAAAAAAGTCCACAAATGGCTAAAAGCATAGATGAACAACCAAAGCAGCCACGACTTGAGAAGCCAAGATGTCAGATGGACGTGAAACACACTGAAATATCCCTGTGTTTCCTCGGGATACTTTTTGAATTCCAGTGCACAGTAGAAGAATGGACAAATTTATAGAACCTAGAATTTACACTTGTCTCACTAGACCAGGAGGACAAAACTGTGTGAATAAAAGTTCAACAAAAGAAAGAGAAAAGAAAGAATTAGGCAAGATGGCAGGAAGGGAAGAAAGAAAGAAGGGAGGGAGGAAGGGAAGAAAGAAAAGAAAATGAAAGAATGAAAGAGAAAGAAAAGAAAAAAGAGAGAGAGAAAGAAAGAAAAAAGAGAGAGAAAAAGAAAGAAGGAAAGAAGGAAGAAGGAAGGAAGGAAGGGAGAAAGAAAGAGGGAAGGAAGAAAGGAAGGAGGGAAGGAAGGGAAGCACAGAGGGAGAGGGGTGAGGAAGGGAGGGAGGAAGAGAGGGAGGAAGGGGGAAAAAGAGAGAAAGAACACCTATATTTCTGGATTTGAGCAAGAAGGGGGCCTCTCTTAGACACATTTAACAGAATTTTAATGCAAATTCTTAAAGTCTGATAATAAAGGGAGGATTTACATTTATAGGAAAAGAATGATCTATCCTTACATTATGTCACAGCAAAAAAAAGCTCTATAGAAAAATATCATCCAAATTCCCCACAACATTTTGTCATCAATATATGCAGTTGAAACTCTATCAGACACACAAGTCAACATATACAATTATTTGAAAACCAGACAGAAAAATATTCCAGATAATAGACCCATAAGTGAACTAGATATTGGAGTTTTAATACAGAAGGTGTAAGGCAACTATAAATAAAATATCAATAAATTATAAAAAAGTAGAAATATTTTTGCCAGAATAAAGTGCCAGAAAAAAAAAACAAATGGGAGGCATAAAATATATATTCAAGAATTAAAAAAATTAAATGTACAATTCAATAACTGATAATTAGCAGCAAAATTGACAAACCAAAAAGAGAATTAGTGATCTATAAAATATGCTATTAAAAATTCAAATTGAAGCATATATTAGTTCATTTTCATGCTCCTAATAAAAGCATACCTGAGAATGGGCAATTTACAAAAGAAAGAGGTTTAATGGACTTACTATTCCACATGGCTGGGGAGGGCTCATAATCATGGCAGAAAACAAGGAGGAGCAAGTCACAGCTGTAGATGGTGGCAGGCAAAGAGAGAGCTTGTGCAGGGAAATTCCCCCTTATAAAACCATCAGGTCTCATGAGGCTTATTCACTGTCATGAGAACAGCAAGGGAAAGACCTGCTCTCATGATTCAATTACCTCTCTCAGGGTCCCTCCCACAACATGGGGGAATTCAAGATGAGATTTAGGCGGGGACACAGCCAAACCATATCAAAGCACAAAGAAAACTAGGCAGGAACAATACAGAATAAAGCATGAGAGACATTTATGCCCTATGGAGTGTTCAAATATACATACTTTCAGAGTCTCAGAATGAGAGGAGAGTAAAAATATTCAGTGAAAATGTTACAATAAATATTGGAAGAGGTTTTTTCATACATGCTGAAAGCCATTACATTCATGGAGTTTAATGAAACAACAGTAACAAAAAAAAATTAAACAAAGGATGAAAACATTGTTAGAAAAAAAATAAAGGTGAAGTGATAGCAAAGTGTGTGTTTGTTTTGAACAGAAAGAACTGTTTCATTGACTCACTGTGGTAGTGATGATATGTGTTAAAATCCATAGTATTATACACCAAAGAAGGGTAAGTAAAATATAAATCAGGTGAAGAATTGTGACAGATTGCCTTCTATGTAACAAAAAGACTGAAAACAAAACAAGATTTTCCATAGAAATGGTGGATCCTAGTATAAAAGGAAATGAAATTTTAATAAATATTAACTCACAATTCTTAAATATTTTATTTTGCCTTTTTTTGATAATTTTTTTAAAAATATTTTTCTTTCTGTATTTCCAGTTTAGGAAAATTCTGTTGACCTATAATGAAGTTTACAGATTTTTCCTCATATCTGTCCAGTCTACGGATTAGATCTTCAAAGGTATTCTTTATGTTTATTACAGTATATTTTTATTTCTAGCATTTCTATGTGTATAATTGCATTGTCCTTCTGTTCTTACATGTGGTTTATTATTTTCATCATGGTCTTTAATATATTAAATATATTAAGTTTTATTAATATTATTTTTAATAGACAAATCATAATTTTATACATTTATGGTGTTCAATGTGAAGTTATGATATATGTATACTATGGGAAATTATTATATCAGGTTAATTAACATAGCCATCATCTCACCTATCACTTTTATGGTGAAAGATTTGAAATTACTCAGTTATTTTGAAATATGCAATACATTGTTTTTTACTGTAGTCACTCTGCTGTGAAATATATCTCAAAGCCTGTTTGTCATGTCCCCTTTGATCAAGAACTTCCCATTGCCTTCCTCCTCACTCCTACAGCCTCTGTTAAACATCACTGTGCTCTCTACTTTTTAGATTTCATATATAAGTGAGATTATACAGCATTTATTTTTCTGTGCCAGTCTTATTTCACTTGGCATAATGTCCTACAGACTCATCCATGTTGTCACAAATGAAAGGATTTTCTTCTTTTTTTAAGGCTGAGTAGCATTTCACAGTGTGTCTGTGTGTTTGTTTTTGTGTGTGTGTGTGAGAGAGAGAGAGAGAAAGAGAGTGAGAGAAAGAGACAGCTTATCCTTTCATCCATTGATAGACATTTAAGTTAATTCCATATCTTGACTATTGTAAATAATACTGCAATGAACAAGAGAGTGCAGATATCCCTTCAACATATTAATTTCAATTCCTTTGGATATATACCCAGAAATGGGATGGCTGGATCATGTATTAGTTCTATTTTTAGTTTTTTTCAGGAATCTCCATACCATTTTTCATAATGGCTGTGCTAATTTATATTCTCACCAACAATATGCAAGAATTCCCTTCTCTGCATCATTGCCAACACTCATCTTTCATCTTTTCGATAAAATCCATTCTAATGGGTGGGAAGTGATATTTCATTTTGGTTTTAATTTGCATTTCCCTAATAAGTAGTGATGGTAAGCATTTTTTCCTGTACATATTGGCCGTCTGTATGTCTGTATGTCTTCTTTTAAGAAATGTCTGAGCCGGGCATGGTGGCTCACACCTTTAATCCCAGCATGTTGAGAGGCCAAGGTAGGCAGATCATGAGGTCAGGAGTTTGAGATCAGCCTGACCAACATGGTGAAACCCTGTCTCTACTGAAAGTACAAAAATTAGCTGGGCATGGTGGCGGGCGCCTGTAATCCCAGCTACTCAGGAGGCTGAGGCAGAAGAATCCCTTGATCCCCGGAGGGGATGTTGCAGTGAGCCGAGATCACACCATTGCACTCCAGCCTGAGCAGAGCGAGACTCCGTCTCAAAAAAAAAAAAAAAAAAAAAAAAATCTGTCCTTTGCCCATTTTTAATTGGGTTGTTTCCTTGCTTGAGTTGAAAATAATTAGGTTGTTTCCTTGCTTGAGTTAAAAATCCAAATAAATGGAAAGCTATTTAGTGTTCATTAATTTCCAGAATTAATACTGTGAAAATGTTCATACTACCCAAAGTGATTTACAGATTCATTGTAATCTCTATAAAAATCCCAGTATCATTTTTCACAGAAATGGAGAACACAAACTTTTAATTCACATTGAACCTCAAAAGATGCCAAGTAGCCAAAATAATCCTTAGCAAAAAGAATAAAATTGGCAGCATCACTCTACTTGACTTCAAAGTATAAAGTAATTGCATCAAAACAACATGGCGTTAGCATAAAAACAGACACGTTGACTTATGGAACAGGATAGAAAGCCCATAAACCTGCCCATTTACAGTCAATTGATTTTTGACAGAAATTTCAAGAACACACAATGAGAAATGGGCAATCTCTTAAATAAATGGCATTTAAAAATTGGGTATTTACATGCAGAAGAAAATAATTGGATCCTTATATTGGATCCAAAAAAAGGAGACCTCACGAGTTCTAGAACTGACCTTTGGATCCTTATAGTGGATCCAAAAAATTGGATCCTTATATTTATATTTAGGGGCTGAGGGCATGGCACCTTTTATATTTAGGTTTTATATTTTTATTTAGGGGCTGAGGGCATGGCAGCTTCCAAAACAGACCCCTTCAAGGATAGTAAATCTTCCTCCTCGATTTATTATCCTCGAGAATAATAAATCTTCTCCCTTAAGGAGAAGAGCTCTAAAGGAGTTCTAGACTAGCCTGGCCAACAATGGTGAAATCCTGTCTCTACTAAAAATATACAAAAATGTGCTGGGCGTGGTGACGTGCACCTGTAATCCCAGCTACTCGGAAGGCTGAGACGGAAGAATCGCTTGAACCTGGGAGGCGGCGGTTGCAGTGAGCCAAGATCGCACCATTGGACTCCAGCCTGGGCTACAAGAGCAAAACTCCGTCTAAAACAAACAAACAAACAAAAAGTCTGAGTTATAATCCATTATTATACTGGAGACTTGGTTTATTGGTTAGGTGTGGGAGGACAGGAGTGTTTCTATAGTCGTCTGATTACTTCTTAGTCCTTCAGTGGGCCTATGTATCACGAGTGTGGCCCTCACAAGTGCTTCTTTCCTTCCTTCGGAAGTAGAGCTTTTATTGCCCCCTGTGCTCTAGCTGCAGCATTCCTAATCTATGCTTTTTCATTTCAGAATATTTTCCTAGAACAGTGTAATTCAATAGAAAATCAGTAATAAAAATATTTCAAAACTCTAAAAACATCACCAAATACATCGTACGTATTTTAGGAAAAGAATTATGAAACATATCAAATCCTGGAAATTACAGCTGCAGAAGTACTAAAATGGAAATACACAGTATTTGATTCACATAGTAAATATAATGTTGAAAATTAATGATTGTGCATCAATCTCAAAAAACAAACCAAAATAAAATAGAAATTAGAAACCAATAAAAGATAAATAAGTGAAAATACATAAAATAAGGAGTTATAGATGATATATAGATAGCTATAGATATAGCTAGATACAGAGATACAGATAAATATAGCATTTCTTCCTTAAGTTTCTAGTTCAGAGAATTGTTGAAAAAAATATTGGAAACAAGTAGTAACTATAATTTCAGAATAAGTATATATAATACTGTGCAGTCTAAGCATAAATTTAAAAACAAGAAAACAGAGCTCTGCATTTGCTTAGATAAAATATGCATGAAATAATTAATTTTTAAAAGAAATTGAACATCTCTTCTGGATTTATGAAATAAATGTAAGTGACACTGTGTGTGCTGTTTTTGATAACTCAGGTCTTAGCATTATAAATTAGCTGCCTCTTAGCTCTCTATGCATATTTATAAGCACAATTATGAATATTCTTAATTGACTTTCACCTTTTAGAATGTAACTTATATTTTAAATTTTGTTAATTAAATCAATGTTTTTTAAATAAATTACATTTCATGTCCACTATTTTTATTCAATCCACAATTATTTTTAGCAGAGAAGAATTTTGACTGTCAAAAAAAAAACTACCATTTAAGAAAATAATCATTTAGTGAAATACAACACTTGGAAGCCAAAAAAAAAAAAAAATCTTATCTTAACATATCTAGTAAAGTATCTTCACAATGCTATTTTTTATAAAAGAAAAAATTTAATTACTAACAACAGAAAATAAAATAAAATTTACAGTGAAAAATCTATAATTCCTCTTATAAATGCATATTTGAATTTATTTGGAATAGCAATCATACTTTCATTTTGAAAGATAATGAAAAATACATGATTTAAACAAAGATCTAAACTTGTCTAATGATTTTAAGAAAATATTTTAAGACAGTCTGTTCAAAGTATGTAACTTTTTTTACTGTGTAAGAATTAAAAATGCCCTGAAATTTGCTATATTATATGAAATCTATTTTTTCAATTTCTAATATTAATGATTATTATGTGACTAAAGAGAGTGTAAGTACATTTATTTTTAAAACTGTAAAAATATATGGTATAAATAAACTAATGGGTTTACTACATGTCACAATGAAATGGAATTTATGAGATTATGCATGGCTAAGTCTGAAGCAATTGTCATATCTTTGAGGAATGGACAACTTGAAAATACACTTAGTTCTTAAAAAGCACCGCATCTCAACCAAGATCAAATAAAATATTTTATTGACGGTCTCTTTTATAGCTGATTAGCTTTTTATCTTCGGAGGGGTAGGACTTTCCTTTTTTTTTCCCTCTTGACTCTTTTTGCTAACACTATATTGGAACCAAGCAATCTACCATTACTCCATTTAGTTCCTGGAAAGGCATAGATCAAAGGCTATTAAAATTGAACTACATTAATAACACATAGAATACTATTGAAAATTTATGTTTGCATGTTTGTATTTTAAATAGAATGTCTTTTAAAATAATAAATTTTAATAAATCAATAGTGCGTTTCTGTTCAGGTTTTAATTTTTGTGACTTAGTACTTTAAAAATGTTTTCTGAAGTTCTCTGTAGATACAGGCATGGAAACTGCAGTCTGTCTTCTTCCATTGGTGAAAAAAACAGAAAATTGTAAAGTATGTTTTTATTAATACTTGAAATGTGCTTGTAATTGTGTTAGCTTTTCAATGCATTTCAAGAAGCTTGTAAAAGTATCTTAGATGGAAGTGAAAATGTATATTAATCTTGGCATGAAGTAGAGAATACATATTTACATTTGGTATTGTTTGATTTGGCATTTCAACCTGTAAGAATCCTTAGTAGGGGAAAACACCAGGGGAGCCATCTGCTGGTAAAAATATGACCTGTGGACATGACGTATTTCTCCTGTTAAATTTAAAGAATCTTAGTACAGCTTATTAACCGAAGACATCAGTTTATGCAGAAACATAGTAAGGCAACACTAATGAAGGAATGAAACAAAGTGGAAGGCATAACATATATATTAATACTTTTTCCTGACTTAAGGACATTGAAGTTATTTCATTCTATTTACAAACAATGTATTTTGAATATTGTATTTACATTTATGCATCCATGCAGTCACCCATTTCTAAGTAGGTAAGTATTCTTTCAATTAAATATATTATTAAATTTGTAAAAATATTGGTAACTTATAAATACAGACTTCCAGCTTTTGTGTTCAAATTTTCAGTTTGACATCTAAGTCTAGATTTTAATAATTGCAAATATTTATGAGAGGCTGGTGATATTTATTTTTCAAATAAAATATTAATTTCCCTAAGATATTTATTTTTGTTAATTTAATACCAGCACATGAAAATCGTAGCAAAAGATGATTTTTTTGAAGATACCTTTACAGTACTGTGATTTTAAAAGACCAAGACAACAAAGTTTATTTTTTTGTTGTTCATATGTTTTATGAACAGATTAATAATTGACAGCAATGTTTTTTCTTTCATATATTTCAGACCCTTGATAATAGTTATATTCAAAATAATTTTCAATTTTCCATTTATTGGTTGTTGAAATTAATGAAGCATATTGATAGAAGAATAACTTATAAACATGCATTGAATCTCAGAATAAAATGGCATGTATAAATGGCCTATGTCAGCTTTTACTATATTAAGTCAGAAAATATATGAGTTGAATGAATTTTCTTGGTAGAATAGCACATTTGAAATTTTTTAGAGAAAACTAATTTGTGTGAGTTTAACAATTATATTACATAGAAAATATATGAACAACTGTCATTAATTTTATTTACTATTTATGTATTTGATTTTTTAAATAATTACTTAGTAAACAAACAGTAATAGTTGGTGATTACATGTTGAGTATCTTCCTTAGTATAATTAAAGTATGCTTGCTTTTTTAAAAATTTGCCTTCATAATATTGAAAATATAATTTTTAAGAATTTTTTAATTATAAGATTATTCTGCAAGCATGTAAATTTTAATCTGCAATGAACACTGAACTATTCATCTTAAAACTTGACTGTAAATGTTACATCAATAAATGAAAAATATACTTACTTTAGCAATATTTCTATAGATAAGTAGAAAGAGAGCAAGCCAGAATTTCATATTGCTGTAACAAACCTGCATCGTGGAAAAGATCAGACTAGTGTACTAGAAAATGCCTGCAAGCAGCAAATCTGGATGCTCATATTAGGAGAGTTACTGCAGGTGACATCTATTCCACACTGAAATGTCATAAAGACAATGGTGCAAAGGGAGAGTCAGCACTGGGTCAGCAGATACTGAAAAGTAGACTTAGAGGATGTCAGCATAAATGTACTAGTAAAACTCATGATCATGAATGATGGTGCCCTCAAGGAGCCTATAAATACATACACATTCAAGTGGAATTTTGAATGATCCCTGTGTGATTCTTTGAATAACCTGGGCAAAACTAGTTTAATACAAACACATGACACATTGTAACAACCGAAACTTGTTACAGAGTATGGCTACATGAAATTTCTTATAAAAAACAAACAATTTGAATTCAAATAGGAGAAATAACTATGCCTGCAGCTTATGAAGGAAAATATGTTGTCAAAATTTAAAATAGTAGATGCATTTGTTTTCATTTATTTAATATTTATATAGCATTAATACAACTGCCATTGTTTTAAGTATTTTACAGATATTAACTCATTTAATATATAAGAAACAAATATAACTCATGCATTACTGATTAAAAACAGAGTTTTTAAGAATTGATCAAGTCATGTAACTAATTATCAGAGGATCTGGGATGAAAATTCAGGGTCTTTCCATATGCTGCAGAAGATCATACATGATTATGAAATTAATAGAATCAGACAGCAAAACAAAATTTAGAAAGCACATAAAGATTTATTTCAAAATAGTATTTGTAATGTTCTCCAAGAAAAGAAGCAAGTAGTGAGATTGAATCTTTTATGAGTTTGAATGTAAGGTTTTAATAACAGTTATAAGAATTTTGGAATATCATTTTGTTGCTCCGGCACATGACATTGGTGTAAAGTAGAAACAATAAGAACTATTATATTTGGAGTTCTTGTGTGTTTCTCACGTTAAAAATGAATGCATTAGTAGATTTTCATTTTAGGTGGATCAACTCATCTTAATATTCCAAGAACATTTTTTGCTGTACCACTGAAAGTCCAGCATCCTGAGAACCTCACATGTCCTAGGCAAACAGGAACAGATTACCACTCTCACTCTGCAGTCAAAGGCAACAACAGACATTGGTTATGTGCCACTTTCTGGTAGAAAACATTATAAAACCACTGAGATGTTTGCATCTGTTATCAAATTTTCTGTATATTAATCTATATTTTTTTAGAAAAAAATATGTTGGGATATCGACTGTAAAACAGAATGAAGTAGATTGTGTGCCCCAGAAGAAAAAAAAAAAAACTAGAAAAGCTGCATTAAGAACATCTATGTAAAAACATCAGAGAAATATTGACGTCTCCAAGACAGGAGGGGCCATCTTTCTGGTGAGGGGATTATGGAAGACAGCAGAAATGACATTCTGAAGTAACATTTTTTCCACAAGTGTATTTGTGGATCTGGACTTAAGTCATTTAAGGCTTAGAATCTGAACATTTCCTAGACACAGGGACTCTGCTAGGTACAGTGAAACCAGTGGACATACAAGTGTTCTTTTGCGGCTGAAATACAAAAGTGTAGCATGAAGGGCAAGATCTTGATGAGAGGAAAGACATGGAAAACTCAGCCTAACAACCAGACTATCCCACCTCACACACATATACAACTCTTAAGCTGCACAAGTTCAGGGTCTAAACAATCAAGCAAAAAGCCTCTGAATGACAAGCCATAGCATTCCTGCAATCTCAGCAAGCCAAGGAGGAAAAGATTAGAGGTCAGATCCCTCTATTCATTTATTTATTTTAAATTTACTTTAAGTTCTGAGATACGTGTGCAGAACGTACAGGTTTGTTACATAGGTATACATGTCCCATTGTGGTTTGCGACACCTATCAACCCGTCATCTAGGTTTTCAGCCCCACATGCATTAGGTATTTGTCCTAATGCTCTCCCTCCCCTTGCCTCCCACCCTCCCACAGGACCTTGTGAGTGATGTTCACCTCTCTGTGTCCATGTGTTCTCACTGTTCAACTCTTACTTATGAGTGAGAACATGCAGTGTTTGATTTTCTGTTTCTGTGTTTGTTTGCTGGGAATCATGGCCTCCAGCTTCATCCATGTCACTAAAAAGGACATGATTTCACCACTGATTCCACAGAAATACAAACTAACATCAGAGAATACTCCAAACACCTCTATGCAAATGAACTAGGAAATCTAGAAGAAATGGATAAATTCATGGACACATAATCCCTCCCAAGACTAAACCAGGAAGAAGTCAAATCCCTGAAGAGAACGATAACAAGTTCTGAAATTCAGGCAGTAAGTAACAGCTTACCAACCAAAAAAAGCCCAGGACCAGATGGACTTACAGCCAAATTCTAGTAGAGGTACAAAGAGGAGCTGGCACCATTCCTTCTGGAACTCTTCCAAACAAAGAAAAAGAGGCACTCCTCACTAACTCATTTTATGAGGCCAGTATCATCCTGATAGCAAAACCTGGCAGATATAAAAAAAAAAATTCAGGCCAATATCCCTGAAGAACATAGATGGAAAAATCCTCAATAAAATACTGGCCAACTGAACCCAGCAGCACATCAAAAAAGCTTACCCAACATGATCAAGTTGGCTTCATCCTTAGGATGCATATTCAACATATACAAATCAATAAACGTAATCCATCACATAAATAAAAGCAATGAAAAAAGTCACATGATTAAGTAGGGAATCCTTTCCCCATTGCTTGTTTTTCTCAGGTTTGTCAAAGATCAGATAGTTGTAGATATGCGGCGTTATTTCTGAGGGCTCTGTTCTGTTCCATTGATCTATATCTCTGTTTTGGTACCAGTACCATGCTGTTTTGGTTACTGTAGCCTTGTAGCATAGTTTGAAGTCAGGTAGTGTGATGCCTCCAGCTTTGTTCTTTTGGCTTAGGATTGACTTGGCGATGAGGGCTCTTTTTTGGTTCCATATGAACTTTAAAGTAGTTTTTTCCAATTCTGTGAAGAAAGGCATTGGTGCTGGGAAAACTGGCTAGCCATATGTAGAAAGCTGAAACTGGATCCCTTCCTTACACCTTATACAAAAATCAATTCAAGATGGATTAAAGACTTAAATGTTAGACCTAAAACCATGAAAACCTAGGCATTACCATTCAGTACATAGGCATGGGCAAGGACTTCATGTCTAAAACACCAAAAGCAATGGCAACAAAAGACAAAATTGACAAATGGGATCTAATTAAACTAAAGAGCTTCTGCACAGCAAAAGAAACTACCATCAGAGTGAACAGGCAACCTACAGAATGGGAGAAAACTTTCGCAACCTACTCATCTGACAAAGGGCTAATATCCAGAATCTACAATGAACTCCAACAAATTTACAAGAAGAAAACAAACAACCCCATCAAAAAGTGGGTGAAGGACATGAACAGACACTTCTCAAAAGAAGACATTTATGCAGCCAAAAAACACATGAAAAAATGCTCATTATCACTGGCCATCAGAGAAATGCAAATCAAAACCACAATGAGATACCATCTCACACCAGTTAGAATGGCAATCATTAAAAAGTCAGGAAACAACAGGTGCTGGAGAGGATGTGGAGAAATAGGAACACTTTTACACTGTTGGTGGGACTGTAAACTAGTTCAACCATTGTGGAAGTCAGTGTGGCGATTCCACAGGGATCTAGAACTAGAAATACCATTTGACCCAGCCATCCCATTACTGGGTATATACCCAAAGGACTATAAATCATGCTGCTGGAAAGACACATGCACACGTATGTTTATTGTGGGACTATTCACAATAGCAAAGACTTGGAACCAACCCAAATGTCCAACAATGATAGACTGGATTAAGAAAATGTGGCACATATACACCATGGAATACTAGGCAGCCATAAAAAATGATGAGTTCGTGTCCTTTTTAGGGACATGGATGAAATTGGAAATCATCATTCTCAGTAAACTATCGCAAGAACAAAAAACCAAACACCGCATATTCTCACTCATAGGTGGGAATTGAACAATGAGATCACATGGACACAGGAAGGGGAATATCACACTCTGGGGACTGTTGTGGGGTGGGGGGAGGGGGGAGGGATAGCATTGGGAGATATACCTAATGCTAGATGACGAGTTGGTGCAGCGCGCCAGCATGGCACATGTATACATATGTAACTAACCTGCACAATGTGCACATGTACCCTAAAACTTAAAGTATAATAAAAAAAGAAATATGTAAGCAATAAACAAAAAGTTATGGTTGTGTTCCAAAAAAAAAAAAAAGAAAAAAATCATGATTATCTCAATAGATGCAAAAAAGACCTTTGATAAAATTCAGCATTGCTTCATGTTAAAAATTCTCAATAAACTAGGTATTGATGGAACATATCTCAAAATAATAAGAGCTATTTATGACAAACTTATAGCCAATATTATACTTAATGGGCAAAAGCTGGAAGCATTCCCTTTGAAAAGCAGCCCAAGACAAGGATGTCCTCTCTCACCACTCCTATTCAACACAGTATTGGAAGTTCTGGCCAGGGAAATCAGGCAAGAAAAAGAAATGAAGTGTATTCAAGTAGGAAGAGAGGGAGTCAAATTGTCTCTGTTTGCAGATGACATGATTGTATATTTAGAAAACCCCATTGTCTCAGCCCAAAATCTTGTAAGCTGATAAGGAACTTCAGCGAAGTCTCAGGATACAAAACCAATGTGCAAAAGTCACAAGCAATTCTATACACCAGATTCCTCTATTTCAAAGTCTTGAAATAAGTGCCCTAGAAGCAGACTGATCAAAGAGACACAGCCCAAGTGTTATAGCTCTTTTACAATTTGTCTAGTAGGTTTTCCAGTTTTCACCAGAAAATCCCGCATGGAGAAAAAATAAAAGGTAGACACAACCAAATGTTCTTTGAGGGTCAAACGTTATAGACCCCCGAAGAAATGTCTACCAGGAACCATTTCTGGAATATAGAAATATAGGCTGTGAGCTATATGCACAGATGAGTGGTTCAGCTCATATATGGGTCCAATAAAGACTATCTAGCATTTTCAAATTTAGAGAGGTAAACATGCAAACAGAATCCTAAGAACATTTTAACTATAGCTGAGGTGTACTTTTTTCTTTCCTAGAGTTTAGATGGCTTCCTGATTTATAACAGCTTTGCATGTATTAAGGTTGGCATGACTAGCCACATTGAATCCTAATATAAAATGCTCCACAATAGCATCAGCGTCAGACTAGCCCATATTTGGACTAGCTTTCTTTTTTTAATTTTTTTCTGTTGCAAAGCACATTTTTTTTTCAGTATAAGTCTCTGTGAGATTTATCTTTAAATTGAATGTTTTGCTGTGTAAAGAAGAGTTGAATCCATATTTTGATAATGTTCATTATTCCTTACATCATTGTGTGCCTGCTTAATTTCCAGATTTAATGAGAAAAAAAACTTTTGATAAATTTTAAAGTAAGTTCATTATGACAAATAGCATAACTAGTCCCAAGTTTCCTAAAATTTCTATTTATTTTAATGTGTTGCATGAATATTTTTTAAATGTCTTCCAGACACTATGTTTACCTTCTGGTCAATTTAATTAAGCAAATATTTATGAGGAAATTATATACATAAGAAGCTTTTCAGAATGGTTTTTATTTCAACAAAATAATTTATATGATGCTTATCCTTACCTTGTGGACAATTCTTCTGCAAATTTATGGCTGAGGTCCACATAGTTTGTTCACAATGAGGGTGTTTTATTCCCTCTCATTTCTCTCTCATCTGTGACTTCTTCAAAGCAATTATTGACGCTCAAGTCCATGACTTCCTACCAAAAAGAATGTAATTGGCTAAGACAAATGTTATAGTGAGATAAATCACTGCATTTTGAAAGTCAACCAGAAAGCGACCAGATCCAACTGGGTCACATAGAGAAAAATAGAAAATAACACTTTGAAAATGAAAGCGGAACAAATTTCTAGTTACCTCATCACACATGGTAAAACAGGTTCTGGCATCTGTGTTTTTTATTCTTTCTTTCTTTTCTTTTTTATTTTTTTTGGTTGAGAGGTAGGAGTGAAAACATCTGCCTGTGATACATATTGACCAGAGATATATTGTATTAGTAGCTTTCTGTTGCAAATTTTGTGGCAATTTAAGCACCAGAAATCAACAGTTTAGTGTCTTGGAGAAATTGGTGTCTTCCTTCCTTCCTTCCTTCCTTCCTTCCTTCCTTCCTTCCTTCCTTCCTTCCTTCCTTCCTCTCTCTCTCGTTTCTTTCTTTCTCTTGGGGGTTGTTTGAAAAGCTGATTCATAATTGGAACAAAAACTGAAGGAATTGTGGTCAATATCAACTAGGAAGATTATTTGCTTCCAATCTCTGTAAAATATAGCTCATCATTTTAAGATTAGTGATCTGTTAATAATCATTTGCTCTGGAATCTTGACTGTGTCTTCATAAACTTACAAAGTACAAATATAATGATTGCCATTCTAACTGGTGTGAGATGGTATCTCATTGTGGTTTTGATTTGCATTTCTCTGATGGCCAGTGATGATGAGCATTTTTTCATGTGTTTTTTGGCTGCATAAATGTCTTCTTTTGAGAAGTGTCTGTTCATGTCCTTCACCCACTTTTTGATGGGGTTGTTTGTTTTTTTTCTTGTAAATTTGTTTGAGTTCATTGTGGATTCTAGATATTAGCCCTTTGTCAGATGAGTAGGTTGCGAAAATTTTCTCCTATTTTGTAGGTTGCCTGTTCACTCTGTTGGTGGTTTCTTCTGCTGTGCAGAAGCTCTTTAGTTTAATTAGATCCCATTTGTCAATTTTGTCTTTTGTTGCCATTGCTTTTGGTGTTTTAGACATGGAAGTCCTTGCCCATGCCTATGTCCTGAATGGTAATGCCTAGGTTTTCTTCTAGGGTTTTTATGGTTTTAGGTCTAACATTTAAGTCTTTAATCCATCTTGAATTGATTTTTGTATAAGGTGTAAGGAAGGGATCCAGTTTCAGCTTTCTACATATGGCTAGCCAGTTTTCCCAGCACCATTTATTAAATAGGGAATCCTTTCCCCATTTCTTGTTTTTGTCAGGTTTGTCAAAGATCAGATAGTTGTAGATATGCAGCGTTATTTCTGAGGGCTCTGTTCTGTTCCATTGATCTATATCTCTGTTTTGGTATCAGTACCATGCTGTTTCGGTTACTGTAGCCTTGTAGTATAGTTTGAAGTCAGGAAACAACAGGTGCTGGAGAGAGTATGGAGAAATAGGAACACTTTTGCACTGTTGGTGGGACTGTAAACTAGTTCAACCATTGTGAAAGTCAGTGTGGCGATTCCTCAGGGATCTAGAAACAGAAATACCATTTGACCCAGCCATCCCATTACTGGGTATATACCCAAAGGACTATAAATCATGCTGCTATAAAGACACATGCACACGTATGTTTATTGTGGCATTATTCACAATAGCAAAGACTTGGAACCAACCCAAATGTCCAATAATGATAGACTGGATTAAGAAAATGTGGCACATATACACCATGGAATACTATGCAGCCATAAAAAATGATGAGTTCATGTCCTTTGTAGGGACATGGATGAAATTGGAAATCATCATTCTCAGTAAACTATCGCAAGAACAAAAAACCAAACACCGCATATTCTCACTCATAGGTGGGGATTGAACAGTGAGAACACATGGACACAGGAAGGGGAACATCACACTCTGGGGACTGTTGTGGGGTCAGGGGAGGGGGGAGGGATAGCTTTGGGAGATATACCTAATGCTCGATGACGAGTTAGTGGGTGCAGCGCACCAGCATGGCACATGTATACATATGTAACTAACCTGCACATTGTGCACATGTACCCTAAAACTTAAAGTACAATAATAATAAAAATAAATAAATAAAAAAATAAACATGATATTAAACATCAAAAAAACAAAGTACAAATATAAAACTGAGAAATATTTTGAAAAAATTTTGAAAACATAAATGATAAAATAATACCTCTTTAAAAAGTTTAGCATAAAACCTTTTTTAAAAGTTTCAAAGTATCTTTTTTTAATATTTGAAAGTTACTTAGAGGACATTATATATTATGTTATATCTTTTGCTTTTAATACTTTTTATTTGGCTTTCATGTTAAAATATAATGTTCAAATAAAAATTTGATTTTTTTCTTATAAATATTTCACTTTAATGTGTATGTCATCAATTAGGAGAATATTTACCAAACCCAAGACTATAGATATATACCATACAAGTAAATATGAAATAAGGAGATTTTGTTGCTATTTAATGTTATCAAACTTACAGGTTGTTCTTCAGGCCCACATTTCTTTTCCACAATTGGTGTGTGTGGAATGCTGTCCTTTCTTTGTACTCATGGTAATTTAATTTTTCATACTCGTCTCCTTGTATTCATTCTAGAATACTTTCACTCTCTTCTCATAAAGCACAGGAAATGATCAACAAAATGAAGAGACAATGCACAGAATGGGAGAAAATATATGCAAACTACCCATCTGACAAGGAATTAATAACCAGAATATATAAGGAGCTCAAACAACTCTATAGGAAAAAAATATATAATAATCTGATAAAAATCGACAAAAGATTTGAGCCGGGCATGGTGGCTCACGCCTGTAATCCCAGCACTTTGGGAGGCCGAGGTGGGCGGATCACGAGGTCAGGAGATCGAGACCATGGTGAAACCCCGTCTCTACTAAAAATACAAAAAAATTAGCCGGGCGTGATGGTGGACGCCTGTAGTCCCAGCTACTTGGGAGGCAGAGGCAGGAGAATGGTGTGAACCCAGGAGGCAGAGCTTGCAGTGAGCCGAGATTGCGCCACTGCACTCCAGCCTGGGCGACAGAGCGAGACTCCGTCTCAAAAAAAAAAAAAAAAAAAGATTTGAATACACATTTCTGAAAAGAAGACATACAAATGGTAAACATGCATGTGAAAAGGGGCTCAACCTCATAGATAGTCAGAGAAATGCAAATATCTACAATGAGATATTATCTCTCCCCAGTTGGAATGGCTTACATCCAAAAGACAGGTAATAACATATGCTGCTAAGGATATGGAGAATAGGGGACTCTTGTACACTATTGGTGGGAATATAAGTTAGCACAACCACTATGGAGAACAGTATGGAGATTCCTCAAAAACCTAAAAATCGAGACCATATAATTCAGCTATCCCACCGTTGGGTATATACTCAAAATAAAGCAAATCAGTATATCAAATAAGTATCTGCACACTCACGTTTGTTGCAGCACTTACAATAGTTAAGAATTGGATGCAACCTAAGTGTCCATCAGCAGATGAATGGATAAAGAAAATGTGGTACATATACACAATTCAGCCATAAATAAGAAGGACATCCAGTGTGTTGCAACAGCATGGATAGTACTGGAGATCATTATGTTAAGTAAAATAAACCAGGCACAGAAAGATGAACATTTTGTGTTCTCACTTATTTGGGGGTTTGAAAATCAAATCAGTTGAAACCATGAATATAGAGAGTAGAAGGATGGTTACCAGAGGCTGGAAATGGTGCTGGGTGTTGGAGGGGGAGGTGAGAATAATTAATGGTTACAAAAAAGTAGAAATAATCAATAAGACCTACTGTTTGATAGCAAAATAGGGTGATTAGATTGAATAATAACTTAATTGTATATTTTCAAATAACTTAAAGAATGTAATTGGATTATTTGTAACTCAAAGTGTAAATACTTGAAGGGATACATGCCCCATTCTCCATGATGTGCTTATTTCAAATTGCATGCCTGTATCAAAACATCTCATGTATCCCATAAATACATACACCCACTATGTACCCACACATTATTTTTAAAGTAAATAAATAAAAACAGGAAAATGTAAGAAAATAGACTGGCCACATTATATCAAAAAGTATGCTGATATAGCTATATTTACTTTTTTTTTTTTTTTTTTTTTTTGAGACAGAGTCTCACTTTGTTGCCCAGGCTGGAGTGCAGTGGCACGATCCCGGCTCACTGCAACCTCCGCCTCCGGGGTTCAAGCGATTCTCCTGCCTCAGCCTCCCGAATAGCTGGGACTACAGGCGCCTGCCATCACTCATGGCTAATTTTTGTATTTTTAGTAGACACAGGGTTTCACCATATTGGTCACACTGGTCTTGAACTCCTGATCTTATGATCCGCCCGCCTCG
The DNA here is from genome assembly GCF_000001405.40 of Homo sapiens. Taxonomy (NCBI): domain Eukaryota; kingdom Metazoa; phylum Chordata; class Mammalia; order Primates; family Hominidae; genus Homo; species Homo sapiens. Next base: position 163,464,877 of record NC_000003.12, on the reverse strand, counting down.
GCCTCCAAAAGTGCTGGGATTACAGGCATGAGTCATCGCACCTGGCATATATTTACATTTTTAAAAAATAATATTCTGGTTAAAAAAAATTAGGGATAAAAACACATTATGTCATTTAGAAATGCATAACTTCCATAATTAAAAATATGAGATATCCAAATTGATGCACAATTTAAAATGTTTTTTCAGATGTAATAGTATGAAATTTAACTGAAAAGTACAGCAATTGTCAAACCCTCGATAAGCCAAATATATTCACATATCTCTTATTCACAGATAAAGTATTCAAAACATCTAAATAACCTATTAGCTAGCCTGAGCTAATAAATATTTGTATAAAATTTCCCAAATTAGTATATATTATATACCCATTCATGTTTAATAAGAACACATTATAAGCATGATTTAACTCCTATAATAAAAGAACATATACTGAATTAAAAAATACAAATTTATACATATTTTTAAAATTATTTAAATTAGAATTAACTGAAAATTAAATAAAATAATTACAAAATTATGCTTCATTCAATTTACAAATGAAGTTACTGAAATCTGTTACAAATTAAATAATTAAATAAAGTTTATAAGTAATATGAATGAACCTCGAATAGCACCTAAATTATTTTATGAAACATTAATGCCAAACTGAAACAAACCATTGCAATTCAAGAAATTATAGACCAATATTCCAAATAAACATAGATGCAAATATTATTAATAAACTGTGTTTGAAATTTTAATTCAGCAATGTATAAAAGAATAAGTATGTCATCCACAAGTAAGTTTTATCTCAGGAATACAGTACTGAGTTGCATTAAAATTTAAACAATGTATTCCTCCATTTTAAGAGACTAAAAAGAGAAAATAAAAGCTTGTGATCATCTCACTAGAAGTAGAAAAACATTTGCCATAAGCCAACATCTTTTAAAGGAAATGTATAAAAATATGTATCAGCTAATAAAAAAAGAGAAAACTTCATGGACTTGTTAAAGAACATCTGTGAAAAATCTAGACTTAACAACTAGATTATTGATAGGTAGTAACTCCCTACCTATTAATAATCACTTTGAATGTAAATGGGTTTAATTCTGCAATCAAGAGACATACTCTAGTGGCTGAATGGACTTTAAAAAAAATCCAATTACATGTGGCCTACAGGAGACTCATTTCATTTTTAAGGACACACGTAAATTGAAAGCAAAGAGATGGAAAAAGATTGCATCCAAATGGAAACCAAAAGAGAGTAGGGGTAGTTATATTAGACAAAATAGGCTTTAAATTAAAAACTGTAAAATGAGACTAGAAAGATCATTATACAGTGATAACGAGGTCAGTTGATTAAGGGGATATAACAATAAAAATATATACACACTCTACATTGGAGCACCTAGACATATAAAGCAAATATTTGAAGATTTAAAGGTAGAGATAGACTTCAGCGCAATCATAGCTGCAGACTTCTATACATCACTTCAACAATGGCCTCATCTAGTCAGAAACTCGATATGGAAACATCCGATTTAAACTACACTTTAGACCAAATTAACCTAATAGACATATATTGAACATTCTACCCCAAAGCATAGAATACACATTATTCTCTAATGCACATGGAACATAGACTACAAACAAGTCCAAATAAAAAAAATATTTAAATCATATCAAGTATCTTTTCCAACCACAATGGTATAAAACTAGAAATCAATAGCAGGAGAAATATTGGAAAATTCACAATATGTGGAAAATAAACTACATGCTCCCCTGAACAACCAGTGAGTCAATAAAGAAACTAAAAGAAAAATTAATAACAGAACTTTTTACTTGGGTCTTTTTTCTCTTTTTCTTTGTTACTGTAGCTAAAGGTTTGTCAATTATTTTATCTTTCAAGAAAATTCACTTTTAGTTTCATTGATCTTTCTATTACTTTTCTAGTCTCCATTTTATTTGCTTTTGCTCTAATCTTTTTAAAATTTTTCCCTTCTAGTAAGCTGGAGCTTAATTTGTTCTTTTTCTAGTTATTTGAGTGTAAAGTTAGGTTGTTTATATGAGTTCTTTCCTCTTTTTTGGCATTTATTGCTACCAACTTTTCTAAGAGTACTATTTTTGTTTCATCACAAAAGTTTGGGTATGTTGTGTTTCTATTTTTGTTTTCTTAAGACATTTTTAAGTAAAAGGGCTCAGACTTCCTATTTTAAACTTACTGTGAAGCAAAAGTAATCTAGACAGTGTGGTACTGGCATAAGGATAGACATATGTGTCTGGTTCTTTTCCTTTCCTTTTTTGTTCAGACTCTATTTTCTTCTATTTTTGAAATGCCTTCTGATTTATGTTGCTGTTGTTATTTAAATCCAGATACAGTGTATTAGTTAATAAGATCTGAGGCAAATAATACTAAAGTTTGAAGATTTAATCCGACTAGGGGTTAAATGTTTTCTGTTAAATGTTTAATATTTTCTGTTGCCGTAGGTGACAGAAGCTTAAAATTCCTCTGGTGTCTTTATTTTTGCTCTTATTTTTTACTTGGGTTTCCCTAAGTCCTTCTCCACAAAAAGAGGCTTTTGCTTGCAAATGTTTCAGCTATAATCTATTGCTATTATTTTAAAACTTTATTAGTATGGTATTAATCTGTAGGGAGAGGAATGTCTTATAATTTTCCAATTATATCACATTCTTGAGCCTGTGTCTCTGAGCTGTGACCTTCTCAAGTGATTCCAAGTGATATCCATGTTTTTCCTCCCTTATTTGAAATATGAAAACTAGAGGAGCAGGAGTAGGATGAATGCCACTCCTCCTCAGGAAAAGACTTTGAAATAAGTCTTTGGTTCCAAAGAGTATGCCTTTGTTATCTCGAATAGTTTGGAAATATTTCACAGTTGATATTCTTTTCTTTCCCTTGCCAGAACCATGAGGGCAATCTCCCTCAAATATTTTTGATAAGAACATGGTGGGGTAATGGAAGTTAAAATAACCAAATGTTGAAACTTCCTAAGACTAAATCTTCTGCAATTTTCTCAGTCTCATACTAGTTCACACTAGCCTCTAGCAGTGCATCTAAATGGTCCCACCAGCTTATGGCTCCAGTGCCTTCTGCTCCAGATAAGCAGATCTCAGCTCTTATTTCTATGTCTCCAAGTTTGGGGAGGCATGGGATGTTAAGTTTGTCCCACCATCTCAGTTCTCCAGTGAGTCCTAGAAAAGTAATTGAATATAACTGAATATGATTTTTTTCAGCCGTATGTAGTTGATTTCCTTATTCACTACTTCATTAGTATGTACTATTGTTTCAGTATGTATTATTCTTTCTGTATGACTTTTAGGAGTGCCTTGTGTCAGAACAATGCATTTTCTTCTATTTCTAATAAGTTCAGAGTTTATGATCACAAATGGATTTTATCCAATGTTCTTGTGGCATTTATTGAGATGATTACATGATTGCTTAACAATTATTGGCACAGTAAATTATATTGCTTTTCAATTTTAAGCCATTTTTACATTTCTTGCAAAATGTCAAATGATTATTAGGTAGTTTGCTTTTAATCTACCATAAATTTAACTTGGTAGCATTTTATATATATACATACGAGAGATATTAACACAAACATATACATATTTAAAAGAGCTATAACCTCATCATTATTTTATCTTATATCTTAGCTTTTTGTATAAAACATATATTTTCTTCATAAAAATTAGATGAAAAGTGTTCTAACTTTTTATATTTTCTGGCAGTTTGTAAATTAGTGATATTACTCCTTTGAATGATTTGAGGAATTTGTAATTGAACCATCTGGTCCTAGAATTGATTTTATAACAGTGTTTCAAATTACAAATTCAGTTTCTTAGGTTCATATAGGACTCTTGATATTTTCATATACACATAGGGCCATTTTTATGTTATTATTAGGGTTTTTTTCAGTGTTTCATAAAAGTTGTCTTTATCATCTAAATTATCAAACTAATTGACAAAAAGTTATTTTCTGCAATTGCCTAACTATACTCTAAATAACTTTAGTATCTGTCCACGGAAATTTTTAAAGTTGTGATATTATTAATCTATATTTCTCTCATTAATTATCCAGTCTTTTTAGAAATTTTATTGGTTTGTGCTGACCTTTCATTTAAAAATTTTTAGTTCTTTTCATTTTACCTCTATATTTTGTTTCATAAGTTTCTTCATCATATTTGTTATTTCCTCTATTCTACTTTATTTAGATATAACTTACATTTTGTTATGTATATTTGGGAAGCCTATGTCATTACTTTTCAACCTTTTGCTGATAATATTTTATTTAATGACAATAAAAATCTGATGACTTGTTGCTTTCCTAAATCTAGTAAATTTTGTTATTTTATCAATTTACTCATTTTTAAATAAAATGTACTCATTTTTAAATAAAATTGGCCCTTTGACTTATCGTTCAGAGTGTCACTTAATTTTCAAACTCCTTGATTTTCTAATTAACTTTTTGTTATTGAATCTGATTTCATTTTAAAGTCATCAGGAAATTATATAAGTCATGTCTTCTAAAATTGCTGAAACCTTTTTATGACTCAGGATATAATCTATTTTGGTAAATAGATTTGGTAAATAAATAGATTTGGTAAATAAATGACACATGGTTCTTTGAAAAGCATTTGCATGCTATATACTTCAATGAAATCTGTTGTTTATTGATATTATTTACTAAATCTTCTAATTTTTTAAAAATAGTCTCACTTGAAAAAGATTTTTAAGAATACCAAAAGGTATTTGTAGATTTGTCTCTATTTCAAATTCTAATGTAGTTTCTCTTTAAATACTGTATTATATATAACAACTATCTTATTAATTGCACACTTAGAATTCTTACACATTCCTGTTGAAAAGTTTCTTTTATAATCACAATCTTTGTCTCTCATGCTACATTTTTATTTAAGGTTTACTATATCTCCTTAACATAGCTATACTAGCTCTTTTAGGAAATGTTTGAAAGGTTTCTCATACTTATGCTTTCAAACATTTTGTGTTCTTACATTTGAAAATTGCTTTTGAAGAAAAATAGCATATAATTGTCTTTTCTCTTTATTTAGATTTACCATCTTTATTGGTATGTATGGAGCTTTATGTTGAATGTCATTACTTCTATAATTTAATTTAAACCTAGTGGCTCGATAGTAAATGTTTAACAAGTGTGACCTTTTTAAGTCACAGATAGTGAAAAAATGAGTATTTTTCTTTACCTAGGACACTGTGTTCCAGCCATACCTTTTTTATCCTTACTATCATTGCTTTCTCCCAAGTATCTGGGGACAAAAGATTGAGATTTGGTAATTCTTCTGCTCTTATTTGAGGTCGCCTTAGAGAATCCTCTTTCCCATTCTTTGTTGTGAGAATTGTTTGCAAAAGCTTTCCCAAGCACCGGGCCCATCACCTGAAGGACATTTTGTTCACAGTGCACTCCTTGTGGGTTGTGTTTGCATTAAGAGGAAACTTCAGGCCGGCTCAGTAGCTCACACCTGTAATCCCAGCACTTTGGGAGGCCGAGGCGGGCAGATCACGAGGTCAGGAGATCGAGACCATCCTGACTAACACGGTGAAACCCTGTCTCTACTAAAAATACAAAAAATTAGCCGGGCCTGGTGGTGGGCGCCTGTAGTCCCAGCTACTCGGGAGGCTGAGGCAGGAGAATGGCGTGAACCTGGGAGGCGGAGCTTGCAGTGAGCCGAGATTGTGCCACTGCACTCCAGCCTGGGGGACAGAGAAAGATGCTGTGTCAAAAAAAAAAAAAAAAAAAGGAAAATTCAAAGCTAATTGAGACTAATATTTTGTTGGACTATGTTGTAGTCAGTTTTGACGTCTATAGAAAAATTACCATAGACTAGGTGGCTTAAACAGCAATTTATTTCTCACAGTTCTGAAGGCTAGGACATACAAAATTAAGGTACTAGCAAATTCAGTGCCTGGTGAGCTTCTATTTTATGTTTTATCATCTTATTGTATCATCACATGATAGACAGCAGAGAGACAAGAAACAAGCTCTCTTCTGTCTCTTCTTATGAGGGCACAAATCCATCCTCACAACCTAATTACATCCCAAAGTCCTCATTTTCCAATACTATCCCATTGGAGATTAGGGTTTCAACATATGAATTTGGGAGGAGGAAATGCAAACATTCATTCCATAACAGACCAGAATTACTTTAATCTTTGATAACTCTATTACATTTGCATAGTTTTGTTTTTGCTGAGCACTTCCATCACTATCAATTTTTCTATTGCATTCTTGAGATTGAGATGTGTTACTGGTTACATCTCTTCTGAATCAGTCTCCTCTTATTGATTGGACTAAGCATTTACTTTTTTGCCTAATTTATTTAAAAATTAAGTGGAAATAGGGTGAAATTTTGTTTTTGTCATCTTCAGCTTAAACAAATAGGGTTCAAATTTTTTCCTTCACATACTGTTCAAAATTAGCTTGATACACTCTTCATATTACACAAACCTTTAACAATAATTGAATTTCATAACAAATCTAAGGTTGACTATTTTTCTTTGTTTACATTTAGCTTTTACATATAAATAAACTGAATTTGAAATGTAAATACCAGCATCACCAACATGGTGAAACTCCATCTTTACTGAAAATATAAAAATTACTGGGCTTGGTGGCGTGCACCTGTGGTCCCAGCTGATTGGGGGACTGAGATTGGAGAATCACTTGAACCGAGGAGGCAGACGTTGCAGTGAGCTGAGAACGCAGCACTGCACTCCAGCCTTGGCAACAGAATAAGTGAGACTCCATCTCAAAATAAATAAATAAATAAATAAATTTTAAAGAATGACTGATATAAAACTTTAACATGTTGAAGCTACCTGTAACTCTTGCCTCTGAAGAACAGAGGGCTTAAATGTGTTAACATGATGTAAGCCACAATTAACAACAACAACAAAAAACCCCACTGAATTTAATACATTTAAATAGTAATTAGATATATTTATTTATTTATTTTTTGAGATGGAGTCTCGCTCTGTCGCCCAGCCTGGAGTGCAGTGGCGCCATCTTGGCTCACTGCAACCTCCGCCTCCCAGGTTCACGCCATTCTCCTCCCTCAGCCTCCCGAGTAGCTGGGACTACAGGTGCCCACCACCTTGCCCGGCTAATTTTTTGTATTTTTAGTAGAGATGGGGTTTCACCGTGTTAACCAGGATGGTCTCGATCTCCTGACCTCGTGATCCTCCTGCCTTGACCTCCCGAAGTGCTGGGATTACAGGCGTGAGCCACCACGCCCGGCCAGATATGTTTTATCACATAAGCTGCACTGCAAACATCTGACTGATGAACAATTCAGTGATTCAACGATGTCATGTCCCTTCTATCTTTGCACTGGCATTCCGTGTATAAGTTTTGTTTTCAGATGCTTCCCATAGTAAGGATAATATAGATACAATAATTCTAGATAACACAAATATGAAAATTCCACATCTCTGCATAAATCAATTACTGGCAAGAGAATAAAATTTCCAAAATTGTCTTAAATTATTACCCTTGTGAATGGAATGGGCACAGAAGATTCAATAATAAGACCAATGAAGTGTTTATTATAATGAAAATATATATTGTGATGTGCCTTCTCTGCTATGCTACAACAAAACAACAACAAAAACTTTGCATGATTGATAGAAACTTTGTTGTTAAAAACTATCATACATTTTGTTATAGGTATAATGTTTTGAATTTATAAAGCCATATTCAAGTGTAGATGTAATTAACATGGATGAGTAGTAGTAGTTTACAGATGTTATTTTTAAATTTCCTTTTGATTCCTTGTAGAAGTTTATTATGAACATATATTTAAAATTACAAAGTTAAAATATTAATACTAGAGGAAACGCTAGAAATAAAATTATTCAGCCACTTATTTTGTGAACATAATGACTGTCTTATATATGCAATGGTCTAAATAATTATCAATATAGTGAGCTACTATAGATAGTTAGATATTTAACTTAAACTTTCTGTCTCTGCATGGCAATAGCAAGTGCTGTCTACTTAGACAGAAGATTCAATATTGACAATCTATAGTCATATGGAATACAGTTTGCACAGAATAAAAACATAGAAACTTGTTTCTAATTATAAACTCTAACAAATAAAAATTCTGATAGTATACTGCCAAAATGTAACATACTTATTGTTTATGTGTACTAAATATTCCCAAAGATCTAGTATCAAACATTTGCATGAAAGGACATAATTATAAATTCAGTAAATATTAATGAAATACAACTATATTTAGAAAAGGAATTTTAAATTATGATTGACATCCTTATATAGCGATATTTTAAAAAGTGTGAGAGAGTAAAAGACCAAGGACTTCACTCTTGTAACAGAAGCTTCACATGTTTTATGTTGGAATATGAAGAAAAAATATTAAACAAACATGATTAGGATGATTTTCAGAAAAATTACAACGTAAAACAATTCCCATATGTGTATAAATGTATAACGTAGATATCAGAAAGAATTAAATTTCTATAAATGATGTATTAAGCAACAGATCTAAAGGCCATGCTAAAAAACTGCATACCTTTTCCTACAATATCTATCAAAAATTTAATAAGCCATTTTAAGTGGTATGATGAAAGCACTTTTCATTGTATACTTTTTGATTTGCATTTCACAAAAACTTCATATTTCTGGGAATGTGTGGGCTGGTTTGCAAAAGAATAAAGTAATGCGTTAATTAAGTTGAAATGACAACTGTAAGAAACTGTAAAGACAGATTTAGGTTAATATAAAAATGAAATATACGTAAGTATTTTTAAGTCTGATTTCTTACTAAAAGTGATATGAGGTATGCAATGACAACAATTTTTATAAATAAGAATAAACAAACAACTTTGTATATTTTTGTTTTTTCAGGTAAGAAAATAAATTACCTTACTATTCTAAGAAAGAAATTTCTTTATCCTTTCTTAAACATGTACATTTTCTTAGTCTTAAGTAGAATGTGAAAATATCAAATCACAATAAATATTATCAGATTTACCAATAGGACATGAGTGATTCAAAAACAGTACAATGCTAAAAATAAAATAATTACACATATACACACATGCACACATGTAGCTATTTACTTACATTTGTATAGATACGTATATCTTACTGTAAGTCTTGATACTTTACAGAAGTATTAAGAATGTTCAAATGTCAAATAAACAATCATTCTATGGGAATGAAAAATCTAAACTCAAATAACATTTAGAGATTTTAAGTGATAGAACTCACTTTAGCATTTCTTGTAGGCATTCCATTGAAAAGGAAGTGAGACAATGACAAGCAAAAGTTTGCTTGTTTTCTACAGCTTCTTAACTTGTTACAAGATTTCTCACAATGCTATTCTGGTTGTTAATGTTGTTTATCCAGTGTTTCTGTGGCAGAGCAAAGACTAGAAGCTTTCTACCTTGCCGCCTTTCTGATGTCACGCACTGTATAAAAGTATTTTAATCTATGATAGTACAAGAACATTTTTAAATCTAAAAATAAATCTTTAGTCAGCACATGAAATTATGAAGGAAAACTCACCACAAGGCAGAAAGCAAATATAAATGAGCTAAGTTAACTATAGTTAAGACAGTTGGGAGTCCTAAAATAGAATGAGGGAAATGGGAAGTGGCACATATAAAGAAAGATAAACAGTTATATAAATGAAACCAAATTACATTAAACAAAAAGGAAAGGAGATATGTGATTTGTAGAAAGATTTAAGAGAATACGTAGAACTGTAAGTTTTAGGAATTCTGATGAACGGTAGAGGAAGGCTGTCCCAGAATATCTTGGGTTCTTAGATTATTGCACAGACAAGCTACATTTTTAGAGAAGTGTTGTTCTAAGTCGTAAAGTTAAGGCATCTCGTGACTCACTAAAAAAATTAATTAATTACAAATCAAGCTTCAGCAGGATCAGCTTCACCCATTAGTAAATTTACTTCTTGACTGTAAAAACAAAACAAAACAAGACCCCCCAAACCCTTGAGATTCCTTAGAAAATGATGATAAAATCTAGAATTTCTACTTTTCCAAATGTCCAGAACACAATTATAATTTACTAGACATGCTGAGGAGCAGAAAAATGTGATACATAATTAGAAAATAAAATTGTTAGTAAAAACCAGCTCTAAGATAACCCAGTCATTGATGGTAGCAGATAAAACATTTGAAGTGGCTATCACAAATATGTTCAAGGACTTAAAGAAAATATGGTTATTATAATGAATGAATATACATCAAATTGTAGGAAATTAAGCTATAAACATAAGCAAATAAATTTTAGAACTGAAATGCACAATACTTGGAGTGAAAACTACAATAGATGGAAGTAAGATTATATTTGAAATGGCAAAAGAAATGTTTAATCTGGGATTTATCAGTAGAAATTATTCAATCTCTATATCAAGGAGAGGAAACATTTAAGAAAAAAACCAGACCTCAATAAACCATTGAATAATATTAAGTATCAAACAGCATAAAATTTAAAACTCAGAAATAGAAAAAGTGCAATCATATATTTGAGCAAATAATGATTAAACACTTTACATATTTGTTTAAGAACATAAACTAAGGCCGGGTGCGGTGGCCCACACCTGTAATCCCAGCACTTTGGGACGCTGAGGTGGGCGGATCACGAGGTCAGGAGATTGAGACGATCCTGACCAACATGGTGAAACCCCGTCTCTACTAAAAATACAAAAAATTAGCTGAGTGTGATGACATGCACCTGTAATCCCAGCTACGCAGGAGACTGAGGCAGGATAATCGCTAGAACCCGGGAGGTGGAGACTGCAGTGAGCCAAGATTGCGCCACTGGATTCCAGCCTGGCAACAGAGCAAGACTCCGTCAAAAAACAAACAAACAAAAAAAACCAAAAAAACCCATAAACTAATATATGCAAGAATCTCAGCAAAGACAAAAAAGGATAAGTCCACTAGGTAATCATAGTCAAATTTTTGAAAACCAAAGTTAAGGAGAAAAGCTTAAAAGAAAAAGGACATCTTGTATAATAAGGAAGAAACAGGGTAATTATAGCTTACTCATCGTCAAAAACAAAAGCCAAAAAAAAGACAACATACTTACATTTCTGATAAAAATATCAACCAAAAATATATATAGTCCAAAAAAGTAATTTAAAAATGAAGATTGAGTAAAAAATAAAGCATGAAAATAAGAATAAAAAGTGTTTATTTCTAATACACCTGAATACAGAAAATATGAAGGGAGTCTTTGAGTCTAAAGAGCATTGACGTAAAATGGAAACTCAATTCTTCATGAATCACTGAAGACTGCAGTAATAGCAAATATTTTGGTAAATATACAGTAATATTTTATTACTTTTAATTTTTTTATAATATATGGCTATGTAAAGAGAAACTGATAATACTATATTATAGGATTTATAATATATGTACTTATAATATTTATGAAAACCATAGCATCTATGAGAGGAAATGAAAAATAACAAGTAGTCATTAGGCACTTACATTACATATAAACGGATACAATATTAACTAAAAGTATGTTTTAATAAGTTAAAAATACATATTGAAATCCCTAGGGAAAAAATAAATGTAATGCAAAAATTATAGCTGAAAAGTCAATGAAGCAGATAGGTTCAAATTATGTAACATTTCTAATTCTGGATAACAAAGTGTGTTTCAGATTCTCTCATTGTCATTGACTCCCTCAGGTTGGCTGAGCCTCTTCAATTTTACAATTACTGGTCAGTGCAGTAGATGATAAAAAAAAATGTGATGAATCACACTAGGAACACACACACCATTGACAAAAATGTAATTTGAATGTGTCCAACTTTAGCTGCCTAGGGAAAGATAAACATATTAAGTACCTAAAAGGAGAAAAGCTAGAAATATCTGTGAAGAAAACTGACCCTATGAAATATACCAAAATAGCTTGCAATCCTCTATTTAAAATATTCTATCAATTGTGGTAAGCAAAATGCTTGACTCTCAAATATATTAAGTCCAGGTACCTGTAATGTATAAATTATTTTATAAGAAAAAATTATCTTTCCCGATGGGAATAAACAGAGATTTTAAAAAAAGAAAATTAACTGGATTTCCTGGGTGGGCATAACTAAGTGCAATTATAGATAGAAGGAGATTGAACACATTCCATACAAGATGGGAAGTCCTTGGGGTCAGTAGGCAGAAATTGAAATGGTGTGTCCACAACCAAGGAATGCAGGCAGTCATCAGAAGCTGGAAGAGACAAGAAATTCACTCACTTCTAGGGAATCCTGGGGGAATGTCACCCTGCTTACACTTTTATTTCAACCCAATAAAAATGATTTTGGACATTGTCCTCTAGAACTGTGAAATAATACATTTCTTGTTTTAAATCAATAACTTTGTTGTAATTTGTTATGGAAGACACAGGAACTAATAAACAATTTTTTCTCTAAAATACTTTGCTAATTAATTTCCCAAAAACTTTACCAAGATGACACATAGTTATATTAGTTTCTTCTCATGCTCCTAATAAAGACATACCTGACACTGTCAAATTTATAAAGGAAAGAGATTTAATTGACTCACAGTTCCACATGGCTGGGGAGGCCTCACAATCATGGCAGAAGGCGAATGAGGAGCAGAGTCACATCTCACATGATGGCAGGCAAGAGAGAATGTGAAGGGAAACTCCCCTTTATAAAACCATCAGATATTGTTAGACTTATTTACTATCACTAGAACTGCATGACAAAGACCTTCACCCATGATTCAGTTACCTCCCACAAACCATGGGAATTATGGAAGCTAAAATTCAAGATGAGATTTGGGTGGGACAGAGCCAAACCATATCATTCTGTCCCTGATCCCTTCCAATTCTAATATCCTCATATTTCAAAACCAATCATGCCTTCCCAACAGTCCCCCAAAGTCTTAACTAATTTCAGAATTAACTCAAAAGTCTACAGTTCAAAGTCTCATCTGAGACAAGGCAATAACATTTTGCCTACAAACCTGTAAAATCAAAAGCAGGTTAGTTACTTCTCAGATACAATGGAGGTACAGGCATTGAGTAAATGCACCCATTCCAAATGGAAGAAATTGGCAAAAATGAAGGGGCTACAGGCCCCATGCAAATCTGAAATCTAGCAAGGCAGATAAATCTGACAGCTCCAGAATAATTTCCTTTGATACCATGTTTCATATCCAAGTCATGCTGATTCAAGAGCTAGACTTCCACAGGCTTGGTCAGTTCCACCCCTGTGGATTTGCAGGGTATACCTACCCTCCTGGCTGCTTTCATGGGCTGGTGTGTGCCTGAAGCTTTCCAGGTACCTGGTGCACACTGACAGTGGATCTCCCATTCCGAGATCTGGAAGATGGTAGCCCTCTACTCACAGGTCCAGTAGGCAGTGCCCCAGTGGGGACTCTGTGTGGGGATTTCAACCCCACATTTCTGTACTGCAGTGCCCTGGCAGAGGTTCTCCATGGGGACTCCACTCCTGCAGGACACTTCAGCATGGACATCCAGACATTTCCATACATCCTGTGAAATCTAGGCAGAGATTCCCAAACCTCAATTCTTCACTTCTGTGCACCTGCAGGAAGGATGGAAGCTACCAAGGCTTGGGGCTTGCACCCTCTAGAGCCGTGGCCTGAACTGTACCTTGGCCTTTTTTAGCCATGGCTGGAGCAGCTGGGACACAAGGAACAAAGTCTCTAGGGGTGCTCTGGGCCAGCCCCAAAATACTAGTTTTTTATCTTAGTCCCTGGGCCTGTAATGAGAGCAGCTGCCATGAAAGTCTCTGACATGCCCTGGAAACATTTTCCCTATTGCCTTCTGAGCCTGTGGGGATGAGGGATTTCTGGGCCCCCAAGAGCACAGAGATGTTCGGGTTGGCAGCCTCAACTACGTAGTTGCAGCTGTGCCCAGGAGGGCAGGGCTCCCATCTATTCAACTCAGAAGGGGACATGGCTCCCACCTGTTCCTGACTCCCACCAGCTCTGTGGAGCATACAGTCCTGCCTGCCACTCTCACACTGCAGCTGGTGTCTTCACAGCAACTGCTCAAAATGGAATGCCACTGCCTTCAATTGTTAGCCTTATGATAATGTGAATGTTAGCCTTATGATAATGTGACAATCTTCCACCTGATTTCTAGTTATTACAAAAGGTTCATAATTTAGTTCCTTTGCATACCCTCATAATTTTAGATCTATCATGCTAATTTCTACAAAATACCCTATGAGCATTTTGATTGGGACTACACTGAGTGCAGTGTAATTGAGGGTTAAATAATATTAACAATGTCAATTCTTCCAATTATGAGTACGGTATATCCTGTTTAATTAATCCTAAGCATGCTTTTTATTCTTGAAATAGAGAAATTGTCACCATTTTGTTAATTATACCTCTAAGAATTCATTATTTTGGTGTTTTTATGAAATTTATGTTTAAAATGTTATGTTCCAATTCTTTGTTGCTGGTATTTAATTTTTTTTGCTTTGTGTTTTTAAGGCAATATTTCAAAATTTATTTTTAATTCTGGTAGCTTTTTAATTATTCTATTGGAGTTTTCTACCTACACAATTATATACTTTTTTTTTCTTTTTTTATTGAGATAGAGTCTCGCTCTGTCCCCCAGGCTGAAGTGCAGTGTTACTGTCTCAGTTCACTGCAACCTCTGCCTCCCAGCTTCAAACGATTCTCCTGAGTAGCTGAGGATTACAGGCATGTACCACCATGCCCTGCTAATTTTTTTGTATTTTTAGTAGAGACGGGGTTTCACCATGTTAGCCAGGATGATCTAAATCTCCTAACCTCATGATCCACCCACCTCGGCCTCCCAAAGTGCTGGGATTACAGGCTTTAGCCACCGTGCTTGGCTCACAATTATGTTCTTTAAGAACAAAAACAAATTCTAATTAGAATGTTTTTCTTTTTTATCAAACAAAAATATTATTTATTCTAATATAAATTTCTATGTAACATTTCCAGGTAAAAGTAATTATGACATAATTACATTTAATAAGAATTATCTTTTAAATAGCCATATTTTTAAAATTTATTTTGAAATGTAAATTGTTTTTATTCCTCTATGTTTTTAAATTTCAATTAAGAGAAAAGAAAGCTATGACAGATCTCTTCTAAACACAGTAATATTGTTCACCAATCACTACATCAACTTCTAAAATGTCACATATAAACTTTCCTTAGCCTAAGATTACCCACATTTTGCAAGGAAGGAGGAAACAAGTTCAAAGAGAATTTAGCCATGTTTCAATCTATTTGAAGCTAGCCCATATACTATATTTAAAAAATTTTTAAATAAATATACATATACATACATATACATATTTTTAAAAACATTTATTTTAGTTTCAGGGGTACATGTGCATGTTTGTTTTATAGGAAAATTGCATGTCATGGGGGTTTGGTGTGCAGCTTATTTTGTTACCCAGGTAATAAGCATAGTATCTGACAGGTAATATTCAGATAATTACCCTCCTCCCACCCTCCACTTTCAAGTAGGCCCTGGTGCCTGTTGTTTCATTCTTTGTGTTCATGAGTTCGTAGTGTTCAGCTCCCACTCATAAGTGAGAATATGTGGTATTTTACTTTCTATTCCTGTGTTAGTTTGATTAGAATAATGGACTCCTACTTCATCTATATTGCTGCAAAGACCATGATTTCATTCTTTTTTATGGTGGTTTACTATTCCATGGCGTACACATATATTTTCTTTATTCAGTCTACTGTTGATGTACATTTAGGTTGATTTCATGTCTTTGCTATTTTGAATACTGCTATGATGAATATGTACATGCATATGTCTTTATGATAGAGTGATTTATATTCATTTGGGAATATACCCAATAATGAGATTGCTGAGTCAAATGGTAGTTCTGTTTTAAGTTTTTTGAGAAATTGACAAGCTGTTTTTCACAATGGCTGAACTTAATTCACATTTCTATCAGCAGTGTATAAGCATTCCCTTTTTTCTGCAACTTATTAACATCTGCTATTAATATATTTTGACTTTTTATAACAGCCATTTTATTAGTGTGAGATGGTATCTCATTTGTGGTTTTGATGTGCATTTCTGTAGTAATTAGTGATATTGACCAGTTTTTCAATGCCCAGTGCAAACAGGGTTAGTTTGACATCCTCACTTCCTATTTGGATGTCTTTTATTTTTATTTATCGATTAATTGCTCTGGCCAGAACTTCCAGTACTATGTTAAATAGGAGTGGTGAGAGTGGGCATCTTTATCGTGTTTCAGTTCTCAAAAAGAATGTATCCAGCTTTTGCCTATTCTTGAGGAGAATGCATCTAGCTTGTGCCCATGATGTTGGCTGTTGGTATGTCATAGATAATTCTTATTATTTTGAGCTATGTTCCTTCAAAGACAAGTTTTTTTATGGTTTTTAACATAAAGTGATGTTGAATTTTATTAAAAGCCTTTTCTGTACTTATTCAGATAATCATGTGTTTTTTAGTTTTTAGTTCCGTTTATGTGATGTGTCTCATTATTTTGCATGTGTTGAACCAATCTTTCATTCCAGGAATAAGTCTACTTGATCATGGAGTACTAGCTTTTTGATATACTGCTGGATCGAGTTTGCTAGAATTTTGTTGAGGATTTTTACAACTATGTTCATCAATGATATTGGCCTAATGTCTTCTATCAGGTTTTGGTATCAGAATAATGATATCATTATATAATGAGTTACAAAGAAGTCCCCCCTCCTTGATTTTTTGGAATTGTTTTAGTAAGAATGATAGCAGCTCCTCCTGAAATATCTGGTATAATTTGTCTGTGAATCCCTCTGGTCTTGGGCTTTTTTTTTGGTTGGTAGGCTTTTTATTACTAATTCAATTTTGAAAGTTATTATTGGTCTGTTCAGGTATTCAATTTCTTCCTGGTTCAATTGTGGGAAGTTGTATGTTTCTAAGAATTTGTCTAATTCTTTAGGTTTTCTAATTTGTGTGCCAGAGATGTTCATAGTAGTCTCTGAGGTTGTTTTTTTTTTTTATTTCTCTGGGGTCAGTGGTAATATCCCCCTTTGTTTTTCTGATTGTGTTCATTTGAATCTTCTCTTTTTCTTTATTAGTCTAGCTACTGATCTATAAATCTTATTCTTTCAATAAACAATCTCCTGAATTAGTTGATCTTTTGTATTTTTTTATCTCAATTTTCTTCAGTTCAGCTCAAATTTTTGTTATTTTGCTTATCTAGTCTTAAGATAGCTTTAGTATTGGTTTGCTTTTATTCTCACGTTTCTTCTTGATATGATGTGAGGTTGCTAATTTGAGATTTTTCTAACTTGGTTATGTGAGCATTTAGTGCTATGAATTTCCCTCTTAACACTGTTTTAGCAGCATCCCAGGGATTCTTGTATGTTGAATCTTTGTTCTCATTAGTTTCAAAGAATTTCTTGATTTCTGCCTTAATTATTTTGTTTACTTAAAGCCATTAAGGAGCAGGGTGTTTAGTTTCCATGTAATTGTATGGTTTTCAGCATTTCTTTAAGGTACTGATTTCTATTTTTACTGACCTGATGTTTGAGAGCTTGGATTATATGATTTATTTATTTATTGTTTTTGCTTTTTCTATTTGATGATAATGGTTTTATCACCAATTGTGTGGTCAGTTTTAGAGTATGTGCTATGACAAGATGGGAAGAATGTATATTCTGTTTCAAGGGGTGGAGAGTTCTATAGATGTCCATTAGATCCATTTGGTCAAGTGTGAAGTTCAAACCCAAATATCTTTGTTAGTTTTCTGCCTTGATAATCTAATACTGTTGCTGTGAAGTTGAAGTCTTCTTCTATTATTGTGTAAGTATATCTGTAGATATCTAAGACCTTGTTTTATGAATATGGATGCTCCTATGTTGGGTGCACATATACTTAGAATAGTTGGACCTTCTTGTTGAATTGAACACTTTATCAATATGTACCCTTCTTTGTCTTTTTTGATTGTTCTTGGTTTAAAGTCTGTTTAGTCTTAAATAAGAAGAGTAACCTCTGCTTTTCCCTGTTTTCCGTTTGCTTGGTAGATTTTTTTCACTATCCCTTTACTTTGAACTAGTGGGTGTCATTTCATGTGAAATAGGTTTCTGAAAGACTGCATATAGTTGGCTCTCACTTCTTTATCCAACTTGATAGTCTGTTCAAATATTTTAATTGGGAATTTAGCACATTTTTATTCAGGTTGATATCTGGAGATTTGATCCTGTCATTGTATTGTTAGCTGGTTATTGTGCAGACTTAATTGTGTAGTTGCTTAGTAGTGTCAAAGATCTATGTTTAAATGTGCTGTTGTGGGGGCCAGTAATGGCCATTTCCATATTTAATACTCCCTTAAGGAACTCCTGTAAGGTAGATTTGATGGTAATGAATTATCTTAGCATCTGTTTATCTGAAAGGGATCTTTTTTCTCCTTAACTTATGAAGCTTAGTTTACTGGACACAAAATTGTTGGTTGTAATTTCTTTTCTTCAAGAGTGCTAAATATTGGCCTTTAAATCTCTTTTGGCTCACAGTGTTTCTGGTGAAAGGTTCACTGTTAGCCTAATGGGGTTGCCTCTGTAGGTAATCTGCCATTATTCTCTAGTTGTCTTTTACCTTTTTATTTCATTTCAACCTTAGAGAATCTGATGACTCTGTGCTTGGAAATAATCATTTTGTATGTGTCTTGCAGGGATATTCTACATTTCCTGACTTTGAATGTTAGCCTTTCTAGCAAGGTTGGGGAAATTTTCATCTATGATATTCTCAAATATGTTTTTCAAGTTACTTCCTTTCTCTCTCTCTCTTTCAGGGATACCCATGAGTTGTAGTTTTGGTGACTTTACATAATCCCATATTTCTCAGTAGATTGTTCATTATTTTTTATTCTTTTGTCTTTTTGTCTTATTATTTCAGATAACTAGTCTTTGAGCTCTGATGTACGTTCCTCAGCTTGAATGAGTCTGCTGTTAATAATTGACATTGTATTACGAAATTCTTGAAGTGAGTTTTTTAGCTATATCACATTAGTTTGGTTCTTTCTTAAAATTGCCATTTCATTTTTCAGCTACTGCATCATTTTATTGTATTCCTTACATTCCTTTGATTGGGTTTTAACTTTGTTCTGAATCTTGGTGATCTTCCTTTATTTTCATATTCTAAATTATATTTCCGTAATTTCAGCCATTTCAGTCTGGTTAAGAATTATTGCTGGAGAACTAATGCAATTGTTTGGAGGTAAGAAGATGCTCTCATTTTTTGAGTTGCCATAGCTCTTATGCTGGTTCTTTTTTTATCTGTGTGGGCTATTTCTTTAGCCTTTGAAGTTGCTTTCCTTGGAATGGGTTTTTTTTGCTCTTATCTTTTTTTAATGCCTTTAGGAGTTTGAAAGCGGTATAATATAGGTTTAGTTAACTGCCTTTGTTTCTGGAACATTTTTCAGAAATAGAAAATCAAATATTATATGTTCTCACTTGTAAGTGGGAGCTTATGAGGACACAAAGACACAAAAAATGATGTAATGGACTTTGGGGACTCAAGGGGAAGAGCGGGAGGTGGGTGAGATAAAAGTCTGCACATTAGGTTCAGTGTACACTGCTCAGGGATGGAGTGAACCAAAATCTTAGAAATCACCACTAAATAACTTATGCATGTAAGGAAACACTACCTGTTTTTCAAAAACCTTTTGAAATAAAAAATGTATATTCTCTAAAAAAAAAGCGGGGGGGAAGATACCTGACAAACATCCTCTTCAAATATAAAAACTTCAAGCAGAATAAAGCAAATGAAGAGTGTAAAAAAACAACAAAAAACCCGAAGTAATAAAAATAGTTAGTAGGAAAAATATCAAAAAATGCTTATAATAATGATAATAGCAACAATAATAATAACAATATATTCTACAACGCTAATGTTCTCTTTGTGTTTCAAGGGAAACAGGTTTAGATCATATTGCCAAATTTTCTGGTATGTAATTCATTTTCATTTGCTTGATTTCAAAATTTTAAAAAATAAAATCTTATTTTAAGAATTTAGAAACAAAAAGTTTTGAAGGAAAAAAATGTAATAGTCTTCACAGTTTCCACTATCCTCCACTCTTAAATTGTTTTTCACTCCCAATCTTTGTGGTAAACAATGTTAACAGACTAAAATTTCAACCTGTTGTAACTTATTTTATGCTCATATACACAGATATACACATAGATGCAGATAACTGTGATTGGAATATTTTGTGTGTTTATGTTTATGGATAGGAAATCATATATACATGTTGAACAAAAGGAAAGTCCAATGTAGTTCTATTCTTTGCTCCTTTTAGGTAAGGTGTTTTGCTTCCTCTGGCTTTTTTCAAGATTTATTCTGTCTTTGATTTTCTGCAGTTTGAACATGATATGTCTACATTTAGACTTTTATATTTCTTCTGCTTAGTGTTTTCTGAATGTCCTATATCTGTGGTTTGGCAGGTGACCTTAATTTTAAAAAATTATTCGTTACTATGCTTTAAATATTTCTTCAGTTTCTTTATCTCTGTCTTATACTTCTGATATTTGTTTATTTTACACCTTTAATAATAGTACCATTGCTCTTGTATATTCTGTTTTACTTTTCTTTATTCTTTTTTCTTTTTGCGGTTTAGTTATTGCCATGTCTTCATGTTTACTTCAACTTGGTTGTGTTCATTATATTGAAGAGCCCATAAAAGGCACTTTGGGTTTCTTGCATCTCGTTTTGATTCTTTTTCAATGTTTCCATCTATCTGTGGATATCACTGATATGTTCATGCAAGTTATTTACTTTTTCCATTAAATCCCTCAAAGTATTAATCATAACTGTTCTAAATTCCTGGTCTGATAATTTGAAAATTCCTGCCATATCTGGGTCTGGTTCTCATGATTACTTCCTCATTTCAAACTTTTTTTTTGTATTTTAGCATGATGTAATTTTTTGTACAAAGCCATACATGAGGTATTGTGTAGGAGAAACTGAGGTAGATTGGCCTTTAGTATGAGGTTTCATGTTTATTGGGCTAGGGATTAAACTCTTCTCTGTTACATCCAGCTGCAGGTGTCAGATGCTAAAATATCCTCCTGTGCCTTGTTTTTGTCTCCCTTGCTGTCTTTGAGTTTCTCTGTCAGCCTTTAAAAAGATCTGAGGTGTGCAATTATTTTTCTTCTACCCCTCTGCTATTATATAGTAGCCCTACTGATTTGGTAGTAAGGCATGGGGGTAGAGAAAGTGATTTATAGTCTTATGGTTATGTCTTACTGTTTTAGTAAGCCTGTACCCCTGGGCTGTAACCTGCACAACACAGCTGTGTTGGAACTATGACATCCAACACAGGTGAGATAAGGCTAGAGGAAAGTGTAATTGGGCATTTCTCTCCCCACATATGGAAGACTAAAATGGGCTGGAGTTAGGCATTTCCCTTCCCCAGGTTGGTCAGTTTCTACTACAGTAAAGTAGTTTCACTTGACAGCTGGCCTTCATAAGGATAAATAAATGCTCTAGGTGTATTTAAAAATACATCCTGCCTAAAGCATGAGGGGATTTTTCTCTGATCTTGTCTTGAGAACCTTGAAGGTTCCTGCAGGTAAGACTCATGATTGTGTACCCTCCCGATACTCTTCTTCCCCAGAGTTTTTAACTCTCAAGCTTTTCCACATTAAGCCTCTAGCATTTCATTGATTATAGTTTATGTTTTTCTACCACCTTACTAGGTTCAGCAGTGGACTGTTGCTCTTGAGTTTCTGTTCCAGCAAGCTGTGATTCTTTGTATCTGTCTGTCTGTGTCTCAAGTTTGGGGTGCAGAAAATTGCCCTATGACTTCAATTTTCTGATAGCTCTAATAATAATTGTCAATTTTCTGTTTGTTGAGTTCTTTCTTGTTATGAGTACAAGAGCAACAACTTTCAACCTTTTTACCTGCCTGTTTATTTTGTCATTATGAAAGAAATTGTATCACCATCATTCTTTAATCCTATGTTTGGCTTTTAAAATAATTTTCATATTTTTTGGAAATACACAAAATAGGCCATATATTATAAACTGCAATTTTTGGTGTTATCTTTTTATTCCTCTTGGGTTTGCATTAACATCCCTGTCTCTATCAAACTACTGACATTGTTATTTCTCCTTCCCTTTTCTGTATTTGTGTTAACAAGCTGTCATTTCTATGTCCGTATAATCATGCATGAGTACACACACACACACACACACACACACTTTTTTAGTACATAATTATAAGATATCCCTTTACATCAATACATTGAAAAAAAAATTGCTTTCCTTATAACTGCCTACCCCTAAAGTTAGGTGTATCATATAGCATTTTTGGGGGACCTTGTGCTATCCATCTAAGATGTGCAAGCCCTACAAGAGTTAATTTTCACTTCTAAATACATGACATAAACAAATACCCTCTGTTTCCCATTTCCTTATTAGAAGTTCAAGTTATAAATGATTAATTCACCAGGCTCTGAATACTTGAACACAAACACACTACACACACACACACAGGTATCTATGTCTGTGTGTATGTGTATTTATACACATACAAGCATACATAATCATATATAAACATGCATACATGTATATAAAGATACCACACATAAAATATATTATTAAATGTATGTGATACTGTTTAAATAGAGAAACTTCTTGTGCAGGGTGTATTAAAAATAAATTATCCCAACTTCAGCATATACACAATACAAAAGCATTGATACATTTTGAGTCTCTTAAAATGTGTTACTTTTCTTAAATATGTTTGTGAAAAGAGTCTAATTAAGAAGTTATTATGATAATTGTTTGTCAACTTTTATAACCACCTGCCAGGGAAAATGTCAAGAAAAGAAAAAGATGATTGTGAATTAAGCCATCTCTAAAATAAATTTTTATTTTTAGTAAGTATTTCTTCAATTTAAAAACAAAATGAAATTCATCTACACCCATGTTAATATCAGCGTTATTCAGAATAGTCAAAAGATAGAAGCAACCCATGTCAATTGATAAATAAATAAGATGTGATATATACAAATAATGGACTATTATTCAGCCTTTAAAGAAAAAGAGATTCTGACACATGCTAGAATATGGATGCATCCTGAAGACATGCCATGTGAAAAAAGCCAGTTACAAAATGACAATATAATTCTATTAATATGAGGTACCTAAAATACTCAACGTTTTAGACTCAGGAAGTTGAATGCCTTTGCCAGGCGCTGAGGGAAGGAGGGGTGAGAAATTGTTGTTTCATGGATACAAAGCCTCAGTTGATGAAGTGAATGTGAATGTACTTAGATCCACTGAATTTTACACTTAAGAATGTTTGAAATGGTAAATTTTTTATGTGTTTTACCACGATAAATAAATTCATCTGTGAAATACTAACAACTAAGGGTTTTATACAGACAGGAACCTGAAAATGAATAAAATAGATGCTATGTGAAGTAGCTAATGGAAATATAATTTTCAATAGTAAAATATGAACAGAACTACCAATTATTTCATCTGTAAAGGCAAGCACAGTAGAAATGTTCTTTTAACTGTTAGATGTATCCAACTAAGACCTATGATATTTATTAACATTTCACAAATGACTTAGATAAAAAGAAAACATTAGTAATTTTTACATTTAAATTTTATAGCAAGTAATAAAATGTGCTATTATTCATCTCAAGCATTATGTAACTTGAAGTCAGGATGTAGGCCATTGTGTGTTGTGCATGATCGTGTATGTATATGTGAAAATGAGATAGAATGAGATATAGAGAAAGAAGGACCTGACATAAAACATTATTTTAAAAGAGAATAACTACATTTTCTATTTCAGCTTATAGTATGTTATGGAGGCCAGGGATAAGGTAAATGTAAGATGCTGAAGATATTAAAGATAATAATAATATGAAGCTGGAACCTTTAATTTTTAATAATATATCAAACACAGAAATATTATCTTAAATTCAATCTACATGAGAGGTGGGACTATTTAGAAAAATAAAGTCTAAGTCTTTCATTATACTCTTTGTAATGGTCTGATATCCAATTTGGTATAACTAATAGATTTATGACTTCACACTAAAATTTCATAATTGAAATAAATAGTCATACTGATTTTAGCTTTGTGTTCAGGATGCTTTTCCATTTCATATTGGGGCAGCAGTCAGACAACCATCACTGTCCCTTATTGACTCTATAGACAATGTTTTAGGCTCGAGGTGTGTGCCATTTAATCCAAAGGACATATTTATGATAAAGTTATGTTTCTTCTCCTTAGCTATCATTATTTATTTATAGAAATACCCAAGCTTGATACTCTTTAATAGGTTTATGTCCTCATGACATTTAGTAGGTTTATGTCCTCAAGTGGATATTTGGTTTGCTTTTGTTAATTTTATTTATCTCATATATATATATATATTTTTTTTTTTTTCTTTTTTGATTTGGAGCCTCACTCTGTCACACAGGCTGGAGTGCACTGGCACAATCTCGGCTCACTACAACCTCCTCATCCCAGGTTCAAGTGGTTCTCCTGCCTCAGACTCCCTAGTAGCTGGGACTACAGGCCTCAGCCTGTAGTGCTCCTGAGTAGCTGGCACTACAGGAGCACACCACCACGCCTGTCTGTTTGTTGTATTTTTAGTAGAGACAGAGCTTAACCATGTTGGCCAGGCTGCTCCTGAACTCCTGGCTTCAAGCTGTCCACCCATCTCAGCCTCCCAAAGTGCTGAGGTTACAAGCTTGAACCACTGCACCTGACCCTATTTATCATATCTTTAAATAATTTGATTTACTTTTACATTTCCATTCCAACCTCAAGCTCAAGCAATCCTCCCACCTAAGCCCCCAGAGTAGCTGGGACTAAAGATGTGTGCCACCACACCTGGCTAATTGTACTTTTTGTAGAGATGGGGTTTTGCCACATTGCTCAGGCTGGTTTCAAACTCCTGGGCTCAAGAGATCCACTCTCCTGAGCCTTCCAAAGTGCTGGAATTACAGGCATGCACTCTCATGTCCGGCCTTTTTTTATTTTTATTTTTATGTTTTTACCTCTATGTTAACTTGTCTGGGCTTAAACTGAGAAATGTTTCCTGAGAACTATGACTGCTGATATCTTATTTTCAGCTTCTAAACTGGCTTTTTATAGGTTGCACTTGTGTCTGTTTAGTCAGGTTTTTAGCCAATTATTTGAACATAGGTTTTGCTGAAACATGTCAAACCCCTAAGGCTTCCATTATATGATGATTGATTTTTGTGGGTGTTGGAAAGCACATTCAAATTTAAAATGATTCTCATTGCACTCTTGGTTTTAGGTGCCACAGCATTCACCCTGGCCTGTACTGTTTTTGCACACTATGGCCCAGACAGCCGAGGTTGGGGAAGACTCTCTAGTTCTTCTGTAGCTGTTTTCCCAATATATCCCTGGTAAATTACTGGTTAGTTTCCTTCTTAACCCCAAACTAAACAGCCTCAGTCTAAATACACTGTAAGTTTCCCATGTCTTTTGCTACAACTTTTTTTTTTTTTTGTATTTTTTTTTTTAGTAGAGACGGAGTTTCTCCATGTTGGTCAGGCTGGTCTCAAACTCCCGACCTCATGTGATCTGCCCGCCTCAGCCTCCCAAAGTGCTGGGATTACAGACGTGAGCCACCGCGCCTGGCTTACAACTTTTACTTAACCAAGACTTGTGTTTTGCCCACTCTCAACCCTCAACATAAAATATCATATTTACTGTCTCTGGAAGCAAAGCTACTGGTTTCCATTGCCAACATCACCCATTGAAACTGTAGTTTTCTGCATAGCTTGCATGTGGGTGGGGGACTGGGGAAGAGCACATTCTATGAAACAGCTGTGATTTCACAAGAAGCCATTGCCATGAAATGTAGATGTAGCAACTTTGGTTTAAATTCCATTCGCAATATTACATAACAATCGATGTTATCTATTTCTAAAACAGAAAATGTTCACTCATTAAGGAAGTGTGGATTTTCTTCTCTCCCCAACCCTTGGAATCCCATAGTTTTTCTTTATCAACTTGCCTATTCTAAATAACTTATGTAAGAGGAACTACTCAATATTTGTTCTTTTGTGTCTGGATTATTTCACTTGGCACAGTTTTTTTTAATTTTTAATATTTATGGGTACATAGTGTATTTTTGTGGTTCATGGGATACTTTGATACAGGCATACAATGTGTAATAATGCTGTCAGGGCGAATGGGATATCTATCACTTCAATCATTTATCTTGAGGTGAATGCATTACAAACATTCCAATTATACTCTTTTAGTTATTTAAAAATGTACAATAAATTATTTTTGACTATAGTCACTATATTGTGCTATCAGATACTAGATCTTATTAATTCTAACTATATTTTTGTACTCATTAATCATCCCCACTTTCCCACTCTGCACCACTACCATTCCCAGCCTTTGATAACCATCATTCTACTCTCTATCTCCATGAGTTCAGTTGTTTTAATTTTTAAGTCCCATAAATCAGTGAAAAAATGCAGTTTGCTTTTCTGTGCCTGACTTATTTCACTTGACATAATGTTCTCCACCTCAATCCATGCTGCAAATGACAGATTTTATTAATTTTTATGGCTGAATAGTACCCCATTGTGTACATGTACCACATTTTCTTTATCCATTCACCTGTTGATGGACTCATAGGTTTCTTGCAAATCTTGGCTATTGTGAAAAGCACTGCAATAAACACGAGAGTGCAGATATTTCTTCAATATACTAATTTTCATACTTTTGACTAATTACCTAGCAGTGGGATTGCTAAGTAATATGATGGTTCCATTTTTAGTTTTCTGAGGAGCCTCCATACAGTTATCCATAGAGGTTGTACTAATTTACATTTCTGCCAACAGTGTACAAGGGTTCCCTTTTCTCTACATGTTTGACAGCATTCTTTATTTCCAGTCTTTTGGTTAAAGGCAAATTGACCTGCAGTGAAGTTGTCTCTCATTATGTAGTTTTGATTTACATTTATCTGATCAATGATGTTGAATATCTTTTCATATACCTTTTGCCATTTGTCTGTCTTCTTTTGAGAAATATCTATTCAGATCTTTCACGCATCTTCTAAATTAGACTATTCCCTATAGAGTTTTATTGGGATTATTATGTATTCTTGTCATTAAATCATTTTTCTGATGGATAGTTTGCAAATATTTTCTTCCATGGTGTGGGTGGTCTTCTCACTTTCTTGAATGCCTTCTTTGCTGTGCAGAAGCTTTTTAATTTGATGTGATACCATTTGTCCATTTTTACTTGGGTACCTGTGCTTGTGAGATATTGCTTAATAAATCTTTGCCCAGACCAATGTCTTGTAGATTTTTCCCAATATTTTCTTTTAGAGTTTCATAGATTGAGGTTTTAGATTTAAGTTTTTTAATCTATTTAGATTTGATTTTGGTACATGGTGAGATATGGGGTCTAGTTTCATTCTTCTGCACATGGATATCCAGTTTTCCCAGTGCCATTTAATGAAGTGATCGTCCTTCCCCTTGCATATGTTCTTGGCACCTTTGTTGAAAATGAGTTGAGTGTGAATGTATGGATTTATTTTTAGTTTTTCTATTCTGTTCCATTGGTCTGTGCCAGTTTTTATGCCAGTACCATGCTGTTTTAGATACTATGGCTCTGTAGTATAATTTGAAGTCAGGTAATGTGATTCCTCCAGTTTTATTTATTTATTTATTTTTTCCTCAGGATAACTTTATCTGTTTGGGTCTTTGATGGTTCCATATATGTTTTAGATTTTTTTTCTGTTTCTGTGAATAATGTTATTGGTATTGTGACAGGAATTGTATTGACTCTACAGATTGCTTTGGGTAGTATAAATATTTTAACAATATTGATTCTTCTAATCAATTAAGAGAATATCTTTTCATTTTTTGTGTCTTCTTTAATTGCTTGCATTAATTTTTGTTGTTTTTATTGTACAAATATTTCACTCTTTTGGGTGAATTTATTCCTATATCTTATTTTATTTCTAGCTATTCTAAATGAAATTAATTTCTTGATTTCTTTTTCAGATTGTACATTGTTGACATATGGAAAAGCAACTATTCATGTAGGTTGATATTGTATTCTACAAATTTGCTGAATTTGATTATCAGCTCTAATAGGTTTTGGGTGGAATCTTAGGTTTCTCCAAAAAAATGATTATATCATCTGCAAAAAAGGATAATTTGAATTCATCCTTTCCTATTTGAATACCTTTTTTTTCTTTTCCTTGTCTAATTCCTCTATCTTGACTTTCAAAACTATGCTGAATTAACAGTGGTGAAAGTGAGTAACAGTGAACACCTTGTCTTGTTCTACATCTGATAGTTTATTTGTAAGACTTATGATAATCTAAAATTTAAAAACCTTAAAATCTAAAACCCTTAAGAGAACTTGCTGAAGTTACTATTTTTGATAGGTTCATCAGTCGGTCTTTCTACTCAAGAGAGGAGTGGTCTACACACCACACCTTCAGGCTTTCAGTTGTTCCCCATTCACTGCAATACTAGGTGTGGTCCATTGAATGCAATACTAGGTGTGGTACTATCATATGACTTTTATTGTGTTGAGGCGTGTTCCTTCTATACAATTTTTTGAGGGTTTTTTTATCATGAAGAGATGTTGAATTTTTATCTAATGCTTTCTCAGCATCAATTGAAATAATTATTTTTTGTCATTTATTCTGTTTTTTTTTTTTTTTCTTTTTGAGACAGAGTTCCAATCTGTCGTCCAGGCTTGACTGCAGTGGTGCTTTCTCAGCTCACTGCAACCTCCACTTCCTGAGTTCAAGTGATTCTCCTGCCTCAGCCTCCCTAGTAGCTGGGTAATTTTTGTATTTTTAGTAGAGATGGGTTTCACCATATTAGCCAGGCTGGTCTCGAACTTCTGACCTTAGATGATCCACCCACCTCAGCCTCCCCAAAGTTCTGGGATTATGGCCTTGCACCATTGTGCCCTGGCCTATTTATTCTGTTTATATTGAATATCACATTGATTGATTTGTGTACATTGAACCAACTTTGAATTTCTGGGATAAATCTCACTTGGTAATAATAAATGGCCTTTTTAATGTGTTACTGAATTCAGTTTGCTAGTAGTTAGTGATAATTTTTGCATCAATGTTCATCATACTGGGATTTATTTTTTATGTGTTATTATTATTTTTTGATGTGTCTTTGGTTTTAGTATCAGGGTAATAATGGCCTCATATAATAAATGTGAAAGTATTCACTCTTCGATTTTTTACAATACTTTGCGTAGGATTGATATTAGTGCTTTAAATGTTTACTAAAATTTAGTAGTAAGGCCATCAGTTTCAGGGGCTTTTTTTTTTTTTTTTTTTTTTTTTGCTGGGAGTCATTTTATTATGACTTGATCTCATTTCCTGTTATTGGTCTGATCAGTTTTGAATTTCTTCATGGTTCTATCTTGGTATGTTACAGGTGCATAGGAATTAATCCATTTCTTCTAGATTTTCCCAATTATTGGCATATAGGTGATCATAGTACCCTCTAATGATCGTTCATATTTCTGCAATATTGGTTATAGGGTCTCTTTATTGATCTCTGATTATATCTATTTTCTGGATATTCTCTCTTTTTCTTTATTATTATTATACTTTAAGTTTTAGGGTACATGTGCACAATGTGCAGATTAGTTACGTATGTATACGTGTGCCATGCTGGTGTGCTGCACCCATTAACTGGTCATTTAGCATTACATATATCTCCTAATGCTATCCCTCCCCCCTACCCCCACCTCACAACAGTCCCCAGAGTGTGATGTTCCCCTTCCCGTGTCCATGTGTTCTCATTGTTCAATTCCCACCTATGAGTGAGAATATGTGGTGTTTGGTTTTTTGTTCTTGCGATAGTTTAGTGAGAATGATGATTTCCAATTTCATCCATGTCCCTACAAAGGACATGAACTCATCTTTTTTATGGCTGCATAGTATTCCATGGTGTATATGTGCCACATTTTCTTAATCCAGTCTATCGTTGTTGGACATTTGGGTTGGTTCCAAGTCTTTGCTATTGTGAATAGTCCCACAATAAACATACGTGCACATGTGTCTTTATAGCAGCATGATTTATAGTCCTTTGGGTATATACCCAGGAATGGGATGGCTGGGTCAAATGGTATTTCTAGTTCTAGATCCCTGAGGAATCGCCACACTGACTTCCACAATGGTTGAACTAGTTTACAGTCCCACCAACAGTGTAAAAGTATTCCTATTTCTCCACATCCTCTCCAGCACCTGTTGTTTCCTGACTTTTTAATGATCGCCATTCTAACTGGTGTGAGATGGTATCTCATTGTGCTTTTGATTGGCATTTCTCTGATGGCCAGTGATGATGAGCATTTTTTCATGTGTTTTTTGTCTGCATAAATGTCTTCTTTTGAGAAGTGTCTGTTCATGTCCTTCGCCCACTTTTTGTTGGGGTTGTTTGTTTTTTTCTTGTAAATTTGTTTGAGTTCATTGTAGATTCTGGATATTAGCCCTTTGTCAGATGAGTAGGTTGTGAAAATTTTCTCCCATTTTGTAGGTTTCCTGTTCACTCTGATGGTAGTTTCTTTTGCTGTGCAGAAGCTCTTTAGTTTAATTAGATCCCATTTGTCAATTTTGTCTTTTGTTGCCATTGCTTTTGGTGTTTTAGACATGAAGTCCTTGCCCATGGCTATGTCCTGAATGGTAATGCGTAGGTTTTCTTCTAGGGTATTTACGGTTTTAGGTCTAACATTTACGTCTTTAATCCATCTTGAATTAATTTTTGTATAAGGTGTAAGGAAGGGATCCAGTTTCAGCTTTCTACATATGCTAGCCAGTTTTCCCAGCACCATTTATTAAATAGGGAATCCTTTCTCCATTGCTTTTTTTTCTCAGGTTTGTCAAAGATCAGATAGTTGTAGATATGCAGCGTTATTTCTGAGGTCTCTGTTCTGTTCCATTGTTCTATATCTCTGTTTTGGTAGCAGTACCATGCTGTTTTGGTTACTGTAGGCTTGTAGTGTAGTTTGAAGTCAGGTAGCGTGATGCCTCCAGCTTTGTTCTTTTGGCTTAGGATTGACTCAGTGATGCCGGCTCTTTTTTGGTTCCATATGAACTTTAAAGTAGTTTTTCCAATTCTGTGAAGAAAGTCATTGGTAGCTTGATGGGGATGGCATTGAATCTATAAATTACCTTGGGCAGTATGGCCATTTTCACTATATTGATTCTTCCTACCCATGAGCATGGAATGTTCTTCCATTTGTTTGTATCCTCTTTTATTTCCTTGAGCAGTGGTTTGTAGTTCTCCTTGAAGAGGTCCTTCACGTCCATTGTAAGTTGGATTCCTAGGTATTTTTTTCTCTTTGAAGCAATTGTAAATGGGAGTTCACTCATGATTTGGCTCTGTTTGTCTGTTATTGGTGTATAAAAATGCTTGTGATTTTTGTACATTGATTTTGTATCCTGAGACTTTGCTGAAGTTGCTTATCAGCTTAAGGAGATTTTGGGCTGAGACAGTGGGGTTTTCTAGATATACAATCATGTCATCTGCAAACAGGGACAATTTGACTTCCTCTTTTCCTAATTGAATACCCTTTATTTCCTTCTCCTGCCTGTTTGCCCTGGCCAGAACTTCCAACACTATGTTGAATAGGAGTGGTGAGAGAGGGCATCCCTGTCTTGTGCCAGTTTTCAAAGGGAATGCTTCCAGTTTTTGCCCATTCAGTATGATATTGGCTGTGGGTTTGTCATAGATAGCTCTTATTATTTTGAGATACGTCCCATCAGTACCTAATTTATTGAGAGTTTTTAGCATGAAGGGTTGTTGAATTTTGTCAAAGGCCTTTTCTGCATCTCTTGAGATAATCATGTGGTTTTTATCTTTGGTTCTGTTTATATGCTGGATTACATTTATTGATTTGCATATATTGAACCAGCCTTGCATCCCAGGGATGAAGTCCACTTGATCATGGTGGATAAGCTTTTTGATGTGCTGCTGGATTCGTTTTGCCAGTATTTTATTGAGGATTTTTACATCAATGTTCATCAAGGATATTGGTCTAACATTCTCTTTTTTGGTTGTGTCTCTGCCGGGCTTTGGTATCAGGATGATGCTGGCCTCATAAAATGAGTTAGGGAGGATTCCCTCTTTTTCTATTGATTGGAATAGTTTCAGAAGGAATGGTACCAGTTCCTCCTTGTACCTCTGGTAGAATTCGGCTGTGAATCCATCTGGTCCTGGACTCTTTTTTGTTGGTAAGCTATTGATTATTGCCACAATTTCAGAGCCTGTTGTTGGTCTATTCAGAGATTCAACTTCTTCCTGGTTTAGTCTTGGGAGGGTGTATGTGTCGAGGAATTTATCCATTTCTTCTAGATTTTCTAGTTTATTTGCATAGAGGTGTTTGTAGTATTCTCTGATGGTAGTTTGTATTTCTGTGGGATCAGTGGTGATATCCCCTTTATCATTTTTTATTGCGTCCCTTTGATTCTTCTCTCTTTTCTTCTTTATTAGTCTTGCTAGCAGTCTATCAATTTTGTTGATCCTTTCAAAAAACCAGCTCCTGGATTCATTAATTTTTTGAAGGGTTTTTTGTGTCTCTATTTCCTTCAGTTCTGCTCTGATTTTAGTTATTTCTTGCCTTCTGCTAGCTTTTGAATGTGTTTGCTCTTCCTTTTCTAGTTCTTTTAATTGTGATGTTAGGATGTCAATTTTAGATCTTTCCTGCTTTCTCTTGTGGGCATTTAGTGCGATAAATTTCCCTGTACACACTGCTTTGAATGTGTCCCAGAGATTCTGGTATGTTGTGTCTTTGTTCTCGTTGGTTTCAAAGAACATCTTTATTTCTGCCTTCATTTCATTATGTACCCAGTAGTCATTCAGGAGCAGGTTGTTCAGTTTCCATGTAGTTGAGGGGTTTTGAGTGAGTTTCTTAATCCTGAGTTCTAGTTTGATTGCACTGTGGTCTGCGAGACAGTTTGTTAAAATTTCTGTTCTTTTACATTTGCTGAGGAGAGCTTTACTTCCAACTATGTGGTCAATTTTGGAATAGGTGTGGTGTGGTGCTGAAAAAAATGTATATTCTGTTGATTTGGGGTGGAGAGTTCTGTAGATGTCTATTAAGTCCGGTTGGTGCAGAGCTGAGTTCAATTCCTGGGTATCCTTGTTAACTTTCTGTCTCGTTGATCTGTCTAATGTTGACAGTGGGGTGTTAAAGTCTCCCATTATTATTGTGTGGGAGTCTAAGTCTTTTTGTAGGTCACTCAGGACTTGCTTTATGAATCTGGGTGCTCCTGTATTGGGTGCATCTATATTTAGGATAGTTAGTTCTTCTTGTGAATCGATCCCTTTACCATTATGTAATGGCCTTCTTTGTCTCTTTTGATCTTTGTTGGTTTAAAGCCTGTTTTATTTTCCATTTTTTTTGTTTTCTATTTGCTTGGTAGATCTTCCTCCATCCTTTTATTTTGAGCCTATGTGTGTCTCTGCACATGAGATGGGTTTCCTGAATACAGCACACTAATGGGTCTTGACTCTTTATCTAGTTTGCCAGTCTGTGTCTTTTAATTGGAGCGTTTAGCCCATTTACATTTAAAGTTAATATTGTTATGTGTGAATTTGATCCTGTCATTATGAAGTTAGCTGGTTATTTTGCTCGTTAGTTGATGCAGTTTCTTCCTAGCCTCGATGGTCTTTACAATTTGGCATGATTTTGCAGTGGCTGGTACCGGTTGTTCCTTTCCATGTTTAGTGCTTCCTTCAGGAGCTCTTTTAGGGCAGGCCTGATGGTGACAAAATCTCTCAGCATTTGCTTGTCTGTAAAGGATTTTATTTCTCCTTCACTTATGAAGCTTAGTTTGGCTTGATACGAAATTCTGCATTGAAAATTCTTTTCTTTAAGAATGTTGAATATTGGCCCCCACTCTCTTCTGGCTTGTAGAGTTTCTGTCGAGAGATCCGCTGTTAGTCTGATGGGCTTCCCTTTGTGGGTAACCCAACCTTTCTCTCTGGCTGCCCTTAACATTTTTTCCTTCTTTTCAACTTTGGTGAGTCTGAAAATTATGTGTCTTGGAGTTGCTCTTCTCGAGGAGTATCTTTGTGGCATTCTCTGTATTTCCTGAATCTGAATGATGGCCTGCCTTGCTAGATTGGGGAAGTTCTCCTGGATAATGTCCTGCAGAGTGTTTTCCATCTTGGTTCCATTCTCCCCATCACTTTCAGGTACACCAATCAGATGGAGATTTGGTCTTTTCTCATAGTCCCATATTTCTTGGAGGCTTTGTTCGTTTCTTTTTATTCTTTTTTCTCTAAACTTCCCTTCTCGCTTCATTTCATACATTTCATCTTCCATCACTGATACCCTTTCTTCCAGTTGATCGCATCGGCTCCTGAGGCTTCTGCATTCTTCACGTAGTTCTCAAGCCTTGGCTTCCAGCTCCATCAGCTCCTTTAAGCACTTCTCTGTATTGGTTATTCTAGTTATACATTCGTCTAAATGTTTTTCAAAGTTTTCAACTTCTTTGCCTTTGGTTTGAATTTCCTCCTGTAGCTCGTAGTTTGATAGTCTGAAGCTTTCTTCTCTCAGCTCGTCAAAGTCATTCTCCGTCCAGCTTTGTTCCATTGCTGGTGAGGAACTGCGTTCCTTTGGAGGAGGAGAGGTGCTCTGTTTTTAGAGTTTCCAGTTTTTCTGCTCTGTTTTTTCCCCATCTTTGTGATTTTACCTACTTTTGGTCTTTGATGATGGTGATGTACAGATGGGTTTTTGATGTGGATGTCCTTTCTGTTTGTTAGTTTTCCTTCTAACAGACAGGACCCTCAGCTGCAGGTCTGTTGGAGTTTGCTAGAGGTCCAATCCAGACCCTGTTTACCTGGGTACCAGCAGCAGTGGCTGCAGAACAGCAGATTTTTGTGAACCGCGAATGCTGCTGTCTGATCGTTCCTCTGGAAGTTTTGTCTCAGAGGAGTACACGGCCGTGTGAGGTGTCAGTCTGCCCCTACTCGGGGGTGTTTCCCAGTTAGGCTGCTCGGGGGTCAGGGGTCAGGGACCCACTTGAGGAGGCAGTCTGCCCTTTCTCAGATCTCCAGCTGCATGCTGGGAGAGCCACTGCTCTCTTCAAAGCTGTCAGACAGGGACATTTCCTCTCTTTTTCTTAGTCTGTCTAAAAGTTTGTCAATCTTCCTTACTTTTCAAATAACAACCCTTTTGCATTATTGATTTTTGTATTGTTTTGTTTCAATTTCATTTATTTCTGCTCTGATCTTTATTATTTATTTTCTTCTACTAATTTTTTATTTGATTTGCTCTTGCTTTTCTGTTTCTTTAAGATGCACTGTTAGGTTGTTTATTTGTAGTTTTTCTACTTTTTCATGTTGGCTCTTATTATTATGAACTTTCCTCTTAATACTGCTTTTGCTGTATTCCATAGGTCTTGGTATGCATATTTCTATCTTCATTTGTTTTCAGAAATGTTTAAGTTTTATTTCAAATTTCTTCATTAATACATTGGCTATTCAGGAGCATATTATTTAAATTCATGTGTTTGTATCATTTCCAAACTTCTTCATATATTTAATTTCTAGTTTTATTGCACTGTGGTCAGAGAAAATACTTGATCTGATTGCACTTTGTTAGAATTTTTAAGGTTTGCTTTTTTGGCCTATCCTTGACAGTGATCCATGTGCTGAGGAAAAGAATATGTATTCTGCAGCCATTGGATGAAGTGTTCTGAAAAAAATCTGTTAGATCCATTTTGTCTATAGGGTAGATTAAGTGATATTTGTTAATATTCTGTCTGAATGATCTATCTAATATAGAAAGTAGGGTATTTAAGTCTCCAGTTATTATTGTGTTCGGATCTACCTCTGTCTTTAATAATATATTTTTTATATTTCTGGGTGCTCCAGTGTTTAGTATATATAGATTTACAATTGTTTTATTCTCTTGCTAAACTGACCCCTTTATTACTGTGTAATAATCTTCTTTGTCTCCTTTATAGTTTTTGTTCTGCATTCTATTTTGTCTGATATAAGTATAGTTACCCCCATCTTTTTTTATTTCAATTGACATAGAATATATTTTGGCATCTCTTTATTTTCAATCCATGTGTGTCTTTATAGGTAAAGTGTGATCATTTTATGCAACAGATCATTGGTACTTTTTATTCATTCAGCTACTCTTTGTCTTTTAAAAAATCTTTTTGGGTACATAATAGGTGTATATATTCATGGGGTACATGAGATATTTTGATATAGGCACACAATGCTTAATAATCACAATAGGGTAACTAGGCTATCCATCACTTTATTTATCTTTCCTTTGTGTTACAAATGATTCAATGAGCGTTTAGTCCATTTACCTTCAATGTTATTACTGGTAAGTAAGAACTTTCCACTGCTATTGTGTTATTTATTTTCTGGTTGTTTTGTGGTTTTCCATTCCTTCTTTTATTCCTACCCTTCATCATTCCCACTGAAGGTAATTTTCTCTGGCAGCATGTTTAAATTTCTTGTGTGTGTGTGTGTGTGTGTGTGTGTGTGTAGCTGTTATAGGTTTTTAAATTTTAGGTTACCATAGGCTTGCACATAACATCTTATAACTCATTATTTTAAATTTATTACAACTTAACACTAATTATAGAAACAAACAAATAAAGAGAAAACTAAAAACCTCTACACTCTAACTTCATTTCCCTACTTTTAAACTTTTTGTTGTTTCTATTCATTTCTTATTATACTATGTTTGAAATTTTGGTAGTAATTTTTGATGGGGTCCTCTTTTAGTCTTTCTACTCAGCATATGAGTAGTTTATACACCACAATAAGAGTTATCACATTCTGTGCTTTTCTGTGTACTTTCAATTACTAGTGAGTTTTCTACCTTCAGATGATTTCTTGCTCATTTAGGTCTGTTTCTTTCAGATTGAAGAATTCCCTTTAGCATACTAGTAGGACAGTTATGAGGTTGATGAAATCCCTTAGCTTTTGTTTCTCTCTGGGGATGTCTTTATTTCTCCTTCATGAATACAGGATATTTTTGCTCTAAATACTATTCTAGGATAAAAGTTCCTCTTTTATATCACTTTATGTATGTCTCCCTTGACCTGCAATTTTCCATTGAGAATTATGCTGCCATTTTGCCGCTCCATTGTATTATTTGTTTCTTTCCTTTTTCTACTTTCAGGAGACTTTCTTTACCCTTGCTTTTTGGGTGTTTGATTATTAAATTTCTTGAAGAAGTCTTATTTGGGCTAAATCTGCTTGGTGCTCTATAAACTTATTGTACTTAAATACTGTTCATATTTTTCTAGGTTTTGGGATTCTGTGTTACTATTCTTTTGAAAAAACTTTCTACCCCATTCTCTCTCTCTACCTCCTCCTAAGGCCAACAACTCTTAGATTTGCCTTTTGGAAGGCCATTTCAAGATCTTACAGATGTGCTTTACTCTTTTTTATTTTTTTTTCTTTTGTCTCCTCTGTCTGTGTATTTTCAAATAGTCTGTTTCAAGATCACTAATTTTTTCTTCTACTTGATCAGTTATGCTTGAGATACTCTGATACATTCTTTGGTATGTTAATTGAATGTATTAGCTAAACAATTCCTGCCAGATTTTTGAAAAATTATTTCAATCACTTTCATAAATTTATCGGATAGGATTCTGAATTCCTTTTCTGTGTTATCTTGAATTTTAATGTGCTTCGTCAATATAGCTATTTTGAATTATCTTACTTTAAAGTTACATTATCTCTGTCACTCTGGGATTTGTTACTGGTGCCTTATTTATTTTATTTGGTGAGGTCATGTTTTGGTGCTTATGGATATTTGTTGATATCAGGGCATTGAAAAGTTAGCTATTAATTGTATTCTTTGTAGTCTGGCCTTGCTTGTACCCATCCTCCTTGGGAAGGCTTTTAAAGTATTCCAGATGAATTGAGTTTTGTAATCTGAGTCTTTGGTCAATGCAATTGTATCAGCATTATGGGGCACTCCAAGCCCAGCAATGCTGTGAAGCTAGCACACACATAGGAGTACTTCTTTGGTGGTCTTGGGAAAAATTTTAGATAATTCTCTGGATTACCAGACAGAGACACCTGTTCTCTTCCTCTTTTTTTCCTTACAAATGGAGTCTCTCCCTCTCTCTCTCTGTCTCTCTCTCTCTCTCCTCTCCCCTGAGCTGCACGGAGCTGATGAAGGAGTGACACAAGCACCCCTATAGCCACCACCACTGGGACTGTGCTAGTTCAGACCTAAAGCCAGCAAAGCATTGAAACTGTCTCAAGGCACGCAATGTCTACTGACTGGCTACAGGATATGGTCACTGAAGGCTCAAAGGCTCTACAATTAGCACGTGGTGAACACAGCCAGGCTTGCATCCTCCCTTTCAGGGTGGTGGGTCTTCTTTCCCCTGCCCAAGGAAAGGTCCAGAAATGCCATCTGAGAGTCAGGAAACTTAGGAATCCACTTGGATTTCTATTCTACTGTGGCTGAGTTGGCACTCAAGTCACAGGACAGAGATTTTCCCACTGTTCCTCTTCCTTTTGTCATGGAGAAGGAGTCTGTACCCATGTGTAATGGTTAATACTGGGTATCAACTTGACTGGATTGAAAGATATGCAGTATTGATCATTAGTGTGTCTGTGAGGGTGTAGCCAAAATAGATTAACATATGAAGCAGTGGGCTGGGAAAGGCAGACCCACCCTTAATCCGGGTGGGCACAATCTAATCAGCTGCCAGCATGGCTAGAATACAAGCAGGCAGAAAAATGTGAAAAAGAGAGACTCTGGCCTAGCCTTTCAGCCTACATGTTTCTTCGGTGCTGGATGCTTCCTGCTCTCGAACATCAGACTCTGAGTTCCTCAGTTTTGGAACTTGGACTAGCTCTCCTTGCTCCTCCATCTGTAGATGGCCTATTGTGAGACCTTGTAATCTTGTGAGTTAATACTTAATAAGCTCATATATATATATACACACACACACACACGTGTGTGTCTGTGTGTGTACATATATATGTGTGTACATATATATGTACACACACATATATATGTACACACACATATATATGTACACACACATATATATGTACACACATATATATATGTACACACATATATATATATATATGTTCTTATTAGGGTTCCTATTGTTGGCTGCTTAATATGATTAGACCCAAAAATGCTAAAGTCTCTACTTCTATTAGTATGGAGAACACTGATAGTCCTTGGTGTGAACTGTTTAGAGAGTTATCCAAAATAAATGCATTTGAAACTCCTGATTTATCACTTGTGAGAGGCAAAGAGTTTAGTGACTCTATACATAACACCTTTGACCATATGTGGAGAACCAAGGAACACAATGAAGCTGGTTGGCTGCTCCTAAGTTCACTGAACAAAGTGTTGAAATAAAATGATGAACTCAAAGATTCTATCTCCTAGCTTCAAAAGCAGATACTGAGCCTCAAATTTGCTAGGCTTGCCCTGAATGAGGGTCTTATCTCCAGTAGAGAAACAACTGAAAGTGTGGAAAATCAGACACAGGCTCTTATCATGACAGTGGCTGAGCTGCAACAAAAGGTGCACCTTGCCAGGTGTCTACTGCTGAAGTGAGGGCATTGATTTGAAAAAAATGGGAGCCTGCAACTTGGAATGGGAAATCGTTGAAGGACCCTGATGAAGCTGAGGACACTGCATTTGTAAACTCCGATGAAACTTTTTTGCCAGAAGGAACAGCTTCCCAATCCCCAGTAGTCACAACATCCCCTCCCTGACCCATGCTGCCGTCAGCCTTTCCAACTTTGTCTGAGAAGATAAACCCTGAACTGCCTGAGACAACAGTGATGATTTCCCCTGAGGCAGTTGCCAGGCAAGATAATGTTGACTCTCCTCAGGAGCCAGCCCCAATACCCCTGTTTTCTTCTAGACCTCTTCCATCACGGAAAAGGCAGAGGTTTGTCCTCACTGAAATAGACACTTACTCCAGGTATGGGCTTGCCTACTCTTCATGCAATGCTTCTGCCAAGACTACCATCTGTGGACTCACGGAATGCCTTATCCACCATCATGGTATTCCACACAGCATTGCCCCGACCAATGCACTCACTTTACGACTAAAGAAGTGCAGTAGTGAACTCATGCTCATAAAATTCACAGGTTTTATTATGTTCCCAATCCTCCTGAAGCAGCTGGATTGAAAGAACAGTGGAATGGCCTTTTGAAGTTATAATTACAATGCCAACTATGTGACAATACTTTGCAGGGCTGGGCAAAGTTCTCAAGAAGGTCGTGTATGTTCTGAATCAGTGATCAATATATGGTACTGTTTGTCCTATAACCAGGATTCACAGGTCCAGGAGTCAAGGGGTGGATGTGGAAGTGGCACCAATCACCAACACCCCAAGTGATCCACTAGCAAAGTTTTTGCTTCCTGTTCCTGCGACATTACATTCTGGTGGGCTAGAGGTCTTAGTTCCAGAAGGACGTACACTGCAACTAGGAGACACAACAGTTTTGTTAAACTGGAAGTTAGGATTGCCACCTGGACAGTTTGGGCTCCTCCTACCTTTGGATCAACCGGCTAAGAAGGAAGTTACTGTGTTGGCTGGGGTGTCTGACCTGGACTATCAAGATGAAATCAGTCTACTACTCCAGAACAGAGGTAAGGAAGAATATGCATGAAATACAGGAGATCCATTAGGGTGTCTCTTAGTATTACCATGCCCTGTGATTAAGGTCAATGGGAAACTATAGTAGCCCAATCCAGGCAGGACTACAAATGACCCAGACCCTTCAAGAATGAAGGTTTGGGTCACTGCACCAGGAAAACAACCACGATCTGCTGAGGTGTTTGCAGAAGGCAAAGGGATTA
This sequence comes from Homo sapiens, assembly GCF_000001405.40. Lineage (NCBI taxonomy): Eukaryota > Metazoa > Chordata > Mammalia > Primates > Hominidae > Homo > Homo sapiens. The sequence goes on along the minus strand of NC_000003.12, from coordinate 163,423,986 downwards.
CAGAATGGGTACTAGAAGAAGGTAGTCATCAATACCAGCTATGACCAACTAACCAGCTGCAGAAATGAGGACTGTAATTATCATGAGTATTTCCTTCTTCTTTTTTTAAAAACATGTTTTTTTTTTTTTGTTTGTTTGTGCATGTATACACTTGTACTAAGAAAATATCATTTTATTTCCTTTCTCCTTTTTCACGTGACATAAGATTTATTGACTAACATCAGTATTTAAGTATTGTTAACTTTATGTAATAGTATTTGGGTGGGGGATTGGTGTGTTTCCATTTGTTAGTTGTATTAGGCTAGGTGTAATTATGACCTTATTATTGTCTTTATTTGAAGATTATATGTGATCTCAGGAGGTGTGTATGGGTTCAAGTTGACAAGGAATGGACTTGTGATGGTTAATACGGAGTGTCAACCTGACTGGATTGAAAGATACAAAGTATTGATTCTGGGTTTGTCTGTGAGGGTGCTGCCAAAAGAGATTAACATTTGAGTCAGTGAGCTTGGAAAGGTAGACCCACCCTTAATCTGGGTGGACACAATCTAATCAGCTGCCAGCATGGCTAGAATATAAGTAGGCAGAACAATGTGAAAAACAGCGTTTTTCTCCTAGCGTACATCTTTCTTCCATGCTGAGTGATTCCTGCCCTCAATCATCAGACTCTAAGTTCTTCAGTTTTGGAACTTGGACTGGCTCTCCTTGCTCCTCAGTCTGCAGTTGGCCTATTGTGGGACCTTGTGATCATGTGAGTTAATACTTAAGAAACTCCCATATATAATTCCATTAATATTGTCCCACTAGAGAACTCTGACTAATACGCTATGGTCACCACCACAAGGAGCCCATGTTGTTTGCTGCCTGGATATTATCAATGCTCACTCAAGGCCCAAGAGCTCCTCAGTCAGCTTGTGAAAATGCTGCCAGGCCTGGATCTCTCCCTTCAGGCCAGTGGTCTCCCCTTTGGCCCACTGCAGGTCCAGAAATGCCATCCGGGAGCCAAAGTCTGGAAGCAGAGACCACAAACTCCCACTTGCCACTCTAACCCTCTTTGGCTAAGCTGAGCTGAGCTGCCTTGGATTGGGTGAGGAGTGACACACGCACTCCCTTGGCCACTCCAGCTGGTGTCTCACCTTCACCTCAAGTCTACTGGCTTTAAGCCCAGCCCAGCAGCAGCACTTTCCTTAGAATTGCAGTCTTGTGGCTTAGATTGCCTTTCAAATTTGTTTAGAACCCCAGAGCACATTAACCTGCGGTGGTGGTGCTTGCCTGAATTACAGGTTCCAACCACTAAAATGGATGATTTGTCTCTGGCCAAGATTGGTCTAAATGCTCCTTCTCTGGACGCCAGCTGAGTTCTGCTCTGTGTTGCTGTCCCATGTGGTAAGCAGCACTGAGTTCCAATGCAAAGTTCTACAATCGTTGCACTCTCCCTTCCCCAGTACACAGATTATCTCTCTGTGCTACTGAGGTCACTGCCAGGGGTAATGAAGGAGGGATTGTGTATGCAATTCAAGACTGCCTTTCCTATCCACTTCAGTGCTTCTTTTATTGACATAATAACAAAACCAGGTACTGTAATCACTCATCTGATTTTTGATTCCTATGGAATTGTTTTCTTCTTTGTATAGTTGTTTAATTTGACATTCTTAAGAGAGGAATGTGTACTGGAGGGTTCTATTTAGCCATATTGCTCTGCCTCCTCGCCATTACATAATGCTTTCAAGTCATTATTGTTGTAGCAGGTATTAGTACTTTACTCTTTTGTGTAGTCAAGTGGCACTTCATTATTATAATATTACATTTTGTTTATCCATTCATCTGCTGATGAACAATTGGCTTGTTCTCACTTCTTGGTTACTGTAAATAATGCTGCAACACACATGGGCATGAACTTATTTGTTTGCATCCCTGTTTTCAATTCATTTGGGTACATGTCTAGAAGTGGAATTAAATACACACACACACACATGCACACACACACACATACACACACACAGAAAGAGAGAATGGGAGAAAGCGAATTTGTTTCTTCCAGAAGTCTATAACTGTTATTTTTATTTTTCTTCTGTTGAGGAGTTACAAATTTCAAATAACTTATTTCAATCACAGGTGTTGTTTTCTATTCATTTTTCACAAGCTTTTATTACCACAGTTTGTTTCCAAGCATTCATTAGTACTTTTGATCATGCCATATAGTTCATAGATTATGATGTGTTTAGCTTGCAAATAAAAACAAAATTTACATTCAAATAGCACAGTATTAAAAAAACTTGTTATGTTGACGATTTTTTGCCTGGAACAATTTCTGAATTTAAGTGAGTTTCACTTACTTCAACACTTACTTTGCATATGTTTTTAAAATAAAAAGAATATGATCAGTAAAAACAATATTGGGTAATCTCATGAAATAATAATATTTGACCTTAGCTAACTTTACTCCTTATATTCTATTTATAGTAAATATAAAATTTAAACAATAATTAAATGATTAATCAAAAGTATTTGCTGTCATAGAAAGGTATTTATTGGCATTTGTGACATTCTTCCATACTTACTTGAATAATATTTGAATTATTTAATGAACGTAAAACCAAAACTGATCCCTGCTATGTGTTTGTCCCAGAAAATGAGAGCATTAAAAGAACTGTCAGTTTAGTTAGGTGCATAACTTTGTATGTATGGTATCTATAGTATATTTAAGCATGAAAAATAAATGAATTAAAATTTACTTATTCAATTTTCTGTTACATTTGTTATGGCTCATAGGTTAATATTCCTATAACGTTTTCAGAGTATTTACCAAATATTTTGTTCATTTTGTAGTGTATTTTTATCAAACATATAAATTAAATATCTATCATGTATAAAGAAAAGGGCAAAGCGCTTAAGAGACACACAAAGAGAGAAGAGTAGAGAGAAAAAGAGATTGAGAGAGAGAGAGGGGTAAAGAGGTAGGGGGAGGAGAGAGAGGCTGGAAAGGGGACAATGTGAAAGCAAACATTAAAAAACATGCCAAATGCAGAATTGAACTATTTATAAAATCCGCTAAAATATCTAGACTTATTCACCAGAGAATGATTAATACCAGTTCTTCCACAGAGTATTTATATTTAGCAAATAAACAATTTTGGTGCTGAACTACCCATTTACATAAATAGTGATTGAATAATCAATATATTAGTCAAAATGTTGCAACATTTTTTTCTTAAAAGTCTTTTTAAAATAAATGTTATCTGATAGAAGATACACAAATTGTTTTAATTAAATAAGAGTTTCTGTGAGAAATATTTAAGTCCCTAAGATCAAACACACAGCTTTCAAAATAAATAATTTGTGTATCTCTATTAAAATAAGTTGTATTTACAGACATAGAGATTTATTTCCTAATTTTTTCTGTCAACTTTCATATGTAATAGGTAATCAAATTACTTGAAATAAGACTGTAGATGAGTTTCAAAATGATACTTCATTCAAGAACTTTAGATTATAATATGCAGATGAATTTTTTAACATTTGTAAGCAATAGTTAATATAGATTATAATTGTCATGCTATATATGACTTGTATCTAAGGAAAGTTTATTAATAAGTAAAGTTAGTTCAGGGTTAAAGAGTTTCTATTAACCCTGAGCTAACTGTAAAATAATGAAAGTTTGAAAGCACTGGTACTTGGAAATGTCTTCATTAAAAAATGTTAAACTTCCAAAATATTCAGTTTTTATGTTTACTGCCAATTACAACAAAAATTATACAGAAATATGATGAACTTCTAGGATGATATTCAGAAACATAATAAATCTAACTAGAAATCCATGTGTACAATAATGTGCCATCTTGAATTTTAATTATATTAATGTTAAACAGATATAAAATTTGATTTATAGTGAATTATGTTTGTACTACATATGACTTGCATTTTTTACTGTTGTCACACTATGATTTATTAACTCTTCTGAAAAATACTCACAACTCAGCCTGTTGATTTTCCACTTTTCTGCCCTGCTGCACTTCACAATTCTAAGCTTGTTATTATATTGCTTCAAAATCTATTTGCCTTTGAAGTCTAAAATATCCAACTGTTAGAATGCAAAGGCATTTGGTAATTAACTTAATACCAAATCACACATCTGCCATGGAAAAGGAAAGATATAATTGGATATGCATTTTCTAATACTGATTACATTTCAAGTACAGGTTGGTAATTTTTTAAAAAAATGATAATTTTTAAGACATATCAATTTGTCATGTATCAATAGTAGAAAATTTTTCTTACTGATATTGATTGAAAATATCAATGCAATCAACATTTCATATTCATGTATAAAATATATCTACAGTAAACAAACACAGAAAAACTTACCCCAAGGTAATTTTCAAGAAAAAATACTTATATCTATACATGTACAAACCTGTAATACTGTGAATCACTTATAACCTGGCTTACTTATAAACCTAGGAACTCAGATAAGAGAAGGGAAACTATAAAGATAAGCATCTGGTTGTGTTTTTGTCTTAATATTAATATCATCAAAGGTCAGGAGTGGTAGCTCATGCCTGTAATCCCAGCACTTTGGGAGATAAAGGCAGGGGTGTCACTTGAGGCCAGGAGTTTGAGACCAGACTGGCTAACATGACAAAACCCCGTCTCTACCAAAAATACAAAAAAGAGCCAGGCGTGGTGGTGCATGCCTGGAGGCTGAGGCACAAGAATTGAACATGGGGGGCAGAGTTTGCAGTGAGCTGGAGTAAGGCCACAGCACTCCAGCCTGGGTGACAGAGTAAGACTTTGTCAAAAAAAAAAATTAATTACATCGTAATTTATTATGTCTCTCACAGAGGTCAAATACTTCCAAGTAAATAAATATTATGCAGAATTATGTTCCTTAATTATGATAGCACATTTATGGGAAATAGTATCTGATCACAAAGTTATCATCATTTAAATGAGAGGGCCTTTCTAATTTCCACTAGGCACACTTAAAACCACTTACACACTAACCCAATTTTTGAGGAAGAAAGTTATTATGAAATTTTATGTAGGTAATTTGCTTAATGTTAAAATAAAGCTGATGTAATTTATAGTTCAAAATAATATTTTGTGTAGAAAAAGGTAAAATTTCTGAGAAAACCATAGCTCTTTTATTGTTATTAAACTTAAAATGACAGATAATTTTGTATGTTTTATTATGTGCAACATGATGTTTTGAAGTATATACACATTGTAGAATTATCAAATCTAGGTAGCTGTACTTAGGTGAGAAATAAGACAGTGAGGCATGGAGAATTTCTTAATTTTTAATTCTTTGTTTTTTTCTACAATCTAGAAATAAGATTTAGAAGATTAACTATATTTAAAGTTTTTTTGGGAAATTTACTTCATAATATGTCACATCAAAAACATTAGTTGGTTTTTCATTTTGTTTCAACATATTTTACAAGTATGTAACAAAGGCAATTTAAAAATAATTTGTCATCAAGTGATTTGTCTTCGATGAAAGAAAGACAATTAAAAGGACCCTCTCTCTTTTGTAAATTAAGTACTTCTATGTTGTAATCACAGATTTAAAAAGCAGCAAAATATTAAACTTGCATGATTCCTAACTTATGGACTTTGCCGTATCTGTTTCATGATCATTGACATGTGTATGACTCAAATATTTTGTCAGTATCTGAAAGTGAATATACAGGTGCTAATAATTTGTCAGACAAGTTTTTTTATCATGGTGTTAATCTTTTTATTCTAATTAGAAATGAAGTCAACCAATAAGATTTCGTAATCATTAATTAATAATGTATAAGTTCAGCAATATCAGAAATGATATTGAAGTAATCATTCAATCCAACCTTCTAAATATTGATTCTGAAACCAATTTGTACTCTAATATGTGGTTTATCCCCAACATATGACTGCATCGTACAAATGTAAATATAAACAGTTCCTTGTAGAAGGATGAAATCCAAAATAAAAACCCCTCCATTTTCTGATTGCAACTTGCAGTTTCCACCTTATCATTCTTTATTTATCAACCATTGTGGAAATAATAAATAACAAACTACTTTAAAATTGTGCACCTTTTCATGGAAATAATCCATTTTATCTGTGCATTTGTAGGTAAGTTTATTTAGAGTGGGCTCATTTTGACCAGAAGATTGCAAGCCAGCTCCATCTGTTTCTCATACTCTATGTATCAGCAGCCTAGCAGATAATTTTTCTTATTGTGGCTACGTCAGAACTGCACAAAGGAAGTACAAACTGCTAGCTTATATTAAGCCTCCTTTTGTTGAAATTCTACAGGCATTCGTTGGACCAATGAAATCACATGGCCTAGCCCAAAGACATAGAACAGGGTTACATGGAAAATGGCATGGATACAGAAAATATTAAAGAGTTAGGTCTAATAAGGCAATTAATTACACTTTCTATGTAAATATTACCATACCATGTGCACCCGATGTCAGATATATTCTTTCCTCTAACATATAATGAACATTGATTATGCTTCAGTTTTATTACCCCATTTAATTCTGATTATAGTGACTCCTGCACATGAAGACAATTTTGTTGAAAGACTAATCATGTTGAATAAATTAAGTAATAAGCAACACCAAAAATTCCAAACCCATATTCTCACATAAAAAAATCAGTGACTTAAAAAAAATCTTTCCATGTCTTTTTATTTACAGACTAATTTGCAAGGGGATCAATTTAAATTTTAAATACTAATATACATATAACTGCCAATTCAAACTTTAGACATATATCTCTTACAGAATAAATGCTATATACATAAGTGTATTTGGTAAAGGCCCTAGCTAAAACCATGAGAAATGTCCTAATGTCAATGCAGCAAAGAAAGAACTCAGATTTTTCTCAAGAAGATGTTCTGGAAGTGATTATCATTCGTTTAATGCAGAATTTCAAAGGGTTCAGAGATCTGCCACAGGGTATGTAGGTAGATGGGGCAAATTCTTAACCTATGCCAATGTCTCTTGTATTAGCCTAATACAGTCTTGAGACTGGCACCATTAATAAAACCAATTTTCTTAGTATTCAGTAGTTTTGGGTGTTTTGGCTCCCTTACTTGAACAACTTCTCATTTCTATCAACGGTCTTTCTTAGCTTCCTGTGGCCATTCAGAAAATGGAAAACAGAATGTGCAGTAAGTTAATGCTGGTTGATTAAATAAAACCAAAATATACCAGAGTCTTTTTCTTAGTGCTTTTTTTTTTTTTTTTTTTTTTTTTTTCTGAGACAGGGTCTCAGTCTGTCACCCAGGCTGGAGTGCAGTGGTGTTATTTTGGCTCACTGCAACCTCTGCTTCCAGATTCAAGTCATTCTCCTGCCTCAGCCTTCTGAGTAGTTGGGATTACTAGTGTGCACTACCACGCCCAGCTAATTTTTGTACTTTTAGTAGAGGCAGGGTTTCACCACATTGGCCAGGCTGGTCTCGAACTTCTGGCCTCCATTGGCAGCCTTTATAAACACTTTTATAAAGAGACTATTTTTAATAACATAAGCATTATTTTCTAATTGCTATGTTTTCTTCTATAAAGTGTGTAAATAAATATACTTTGCTTTATGCTTCCAAACCTGAATGACAACCATGATAACATTGTAAGGTAGGAATCTATAATTTAGAAAGTGAAGAAACAATATATTATAAAATGTATTAAATTCAACTTATTTATATATCTATACATTACAATTATATAATTCTAACAGTCTAATATATATTAGGAATTCTAATTCAGAGAGAATATATCATGCAATTCTAACATATATTAGATATCTAATTTTAGTATACTTAATATAATATATATAATTACAAATTACAATGAAAGTATTGAAGGCCCTAACTACACCCATTCCACTTCCATTTCCATTTTCATTTCCATTTCCTCTCTCTAAACACCACATTTATCCTCTTTGTTCACACAAAACCCATGTAGTTTCCAAGGAATAGCACAAGAGCTCAAAATTTCTGAGATAGAGGTTTCACCTTCTGGGAATTCAGCGACGAGGCCCAAATGCAACTATACAATTGAACCGTAACATTAAGAGCAATGTGTGTTTTCCTTGGAAGGCTGTAGCACTCAGTGTGTAAACTCTACCCTCCACTGATGTATCATAGAAGCTTGTGTAGGTAGCTAGGAAACAGACCTCAGAACAGCCACAGACCTGCTGCACAGAGGTAAAGGGCTAAGTTCAGCACCAACATTGCTTTGCACTGAAAAGTCAGACAGGATTGAAGTCATCAGTCACTTTGTTCTTCATGTATAGGTGTGGAAGATAGATTGATACTCTTTGAGGCAGGTTGAGCACTTGGCCTCTTCGAAAATACAAAACACTTTTCAAACTTCAGGAGAAAGTTCTTAAAATTCTTGCTAATAATGCTTTAAACATTATTATTTGTAAGCATTATTATTGCACATTATTATAAAAAATAAATGTAGTATATAATACTTACAAACTATATTTGTGGTAAAGTTTTTAATCATTAATTTATTTCAATTCTTAAACATTTCATCTGAGTTTTACAAAGGAAAAACTCCAGAATAGGATCTCTTTAATGTCTTATCTTGTCTTCTTTGTCAAAAAAATATTTTAGTGTACTTGAACCTTCCAAACTCTAAAATAATATGCCTTTCACTAGATTGCATTAGAAGACCAGGTCCAGAAAAACAAATGTACATTTGTGAATAGATGATGTTTCGGTGTGTTCCATACAGTGAAAAAACCAATTTGTGAGTTTTCTAATATATGAAATGATTATAACTGTGTATTACAGTGTTCACCTTTTGCTTCCATAGTTGTTTTAGTTAGAAAACTTAAAACTCCCCTCAAAATTTTTTAAATGTTAGATTATGTTCTAACAGTTTCAATAAAGGTGGTAATCAAACACGTTAGGAGGCCCAGTTATGAGAAAACTTTGGATTACAAATTCATTTGAACTTATATTTAATAAAATGCTTTATTTTTACAGCAATTCCTTCCTATTTGCAAATTTGCTTTGCATTAAATTGCTGCTTGTGGGAACGTAAAATTGTACAGCTACTTTGGGAAATCATCCTGTAGTTAAATACACATCTATTGTATGAACCAGATATGTTACTCCTAGGCATTTACTTAAGATAAATGAATATTTTATATATATATATATATATATATATATATATATATATATACACACAAACACACACACACACAAATACACACATATATATGTATATATGTATAGATATGTGTATACACATATATATGTATACATATATATATATCCATACAAAAACTTGTACACAGATATTGATAGAAGCTTTTTTGTAAGCAGAAATGGAAATAATCCTAATGTTCATCAACATGTAAATGGATTAATCAAATCTGGCATATCTTCAATGAAAAATTATTTACCATTTAAAATATTGATTCAGATGATAACATGGATGAATCTCAAAATTACTTTGCCAGTGAAAGAAGCGAGATAATAAAACATATTGTATGATTCCTTTTATATGTTACTCCAGAAAATGCAAGCTAATATAAAACGATATAGCAGTTGAACACACAACATTTTTTTCTGGGAAGGAAGACTAGGAGGAAAGGATTACAACTAAATATAAAGTTTTTGGGTGATGAATACATTTACTCTCTTGACTATGGTGTTGATTTCCTGGGTATATAACTATGGTAAACATTACCAAAATGTACTCTTTAAGTATGATCAGTGTTAAATGTATTAAATTATATTTTAATGAAGCTGTTTAAAAATAAAAGAGAATAGACTGTCTATTAGTCACAGAATCCTATTTCCCTAAACACCTGTAGTTAGTATAAAGAAACAAAAACTGAAGTATATACTTTGTTGTTCTTATTGTCTTTGCTGTTTTTAATAAATGTTTGCATAGACATTCAACATAATCTGGATATATGTAGAAAAAATAATTCTATCTCAATTTTAGATTTGTTCTCTCTTTTAAAAGACAGAGGACAAAGAGAACGGAAAAAAATAATAAAAAGAGTTAAGACAATTCAGGAGGAAAACTAAATTAACAGGGAGAAAAAAGAGTAAACCAAACAATCTTGGCTGTGTTCTCACCTTAGCAAACAATTTATATGTGTAACACTGTGTACAAGACTACCATTGGCTAAACACCAGCTTTTTTTTTTTCATGTAAAGTCTCTATAGATTATCTGCCCTAGTACTTTTCATCAATGCTGTTAATACAAAGTACATTGTACTTACAATTCAATGTCTACCACTGGAAGCTGCTAATGGGCTAATTAAGTAATTTATTCAAATGACTTTTAGATGTTTTAAGGGAAAGTAGTTTATGAATGTCAATTACTGTTTTGAGGCATTTGCTTCTAATTCTTGTCTTTAAAAAAATGAGTACTCCCATCCTTGTATAATGCACTGGCCATTCTCCCTAGTTCAATAACGTGTTGACAATTTATCCTGTTTTTCTTCCAAGATAAATACATAATATCTTATTCAAATTACTTGTGAACATAAAACTTTTCAAACAAGTAAATGTAAAATTGCATTAATAGAAATTAGTAAATAATTTGACAAGAAACAAATCACATGATTCTATATGCTCAGAATAACTATACAACATCAATATATTTTAATGAAATGCTAGGAAAACTCTAAACAGAAATTTGAATGCCATCAATCACCAAAGAATCAAATTATTTTTAGTTATAAAACTGTTGAGATTATACTTTTGTGAAAACATATCAGTAATTCAATAAATTGACAAAGATATATATAGGCATATTTAATATACATACTACATATGCATGTTTTTATATATAATATTTAAACATGAATAATTAAGCATTTAGATAATACTTTCATTATAGAACTTGCTTAACATCATTCAGTCACACAGTGTAAGATGAACATTTAAAAAATCTTCTACAAACAAAGATGCCTTTATGCACCATATAGAGGTTAGATATGTATCTTTATAATAGTAGGTAACTTATCAAAGTTTCATTATACATAAATGAAATCAGAAAATGAAAATGACTATGACAATTAAGGTAACCAATTTAGTACAAAAAAGTAATTAAAAGTCTGAATAGATATTTCTACAAACACAAATTTCTACAGATACAAACTCAAACTTCTACAAACACATTTTTTCTTGTTCATTTAACAATAGTGGAGGATGTATTCATTAATCAATGAGTAACTTTAGATTTCATGACATACAAAAAAAGTTCAAAGATTTTCAATGTTATAAAATGTAATTCATGCAGAATATGCATGTGTAAATTGTAGAAAGGAAAAAATGAGCATATAAGACACATATTTCTCCCTAGACTTATGGCTTCTTATGTAATATTTATATATATTTATATATACCTCTATTATATTTTTCTACTTATACTTCATAAATCTACATATAGATTTATTTTATATATATATGTGTGTGTATATATATATATATATATATATATATATATATATATATATATATATACTGATCTTGTGTTGGCCATTCAGGCATTAGGCCTTCTTCCAGAATAAAGAAAATAAAGAAGTATATTTACATATAATATAATATATACATATATATACACATATATATATTATAATATATACATATATACACACACACTTATTTTTAACAGCTTCAAGCTGAATATACTTACACTAATAAAGGTAAAAATGGGCTCTTCACATTCCCTATATAATTTAATACTTAAAAGTTTAATCAATTTTATTTCACATTATATCTTATATAAGCAAGTAAATTTAAAAAAATGTGTGTGTGTTCAGGACATATTTTGCATTAAGTCACACACATCTTAAAATCATTTCTCTCCCATGGACAAATGTGAATAAATATTGATTGAAATATTTATTTTATGTCCTCAAATCAACCAATTATCACTCTCAGAAAATCTTTTTTTAATCAGGACTATAAGAACTGTGAAGAAAACCAAAACAGACACATGCTTACATATGCTCCCACACAAACATACATGTATATATTCCTGAAATAGTTCATACAATAAACATTAAATAATTACTAATGAAATAATGAATGAAAGAATTCATGAATTAAATATTCTCAGGATTCTTTCATTATAGCCATGTAAATTGGCATAGCTATGAATTCATTTGGGCAAATTAACTGTACCATTTTAATACATATATGAATTTAATTAGCACAGTTTTCCCATTAAATATATTATTCACCAACAACAGGCTTGGATGTTCCTAAGTTGCCATTGTTTTGATAAATGAAGAAATAAAATTAATAAAATAATATTGAGTAAATAATAAGTCTAGGTTTTGACTCTCTAAGTTTAATAGCAACTGAAGAGTGACCTTGGCAAATCACTTAACCTCTCTGAACCTCAGGTCCCTCAACTGTAAAATGAATGGCTGTAGTAAATGAACTTTGTACTCAGTGCCATCTCTGAGATTTTATACACCTCTGAAAAAGACTTCTGAATAGTAGGATGTAAAAAATATTAACTGCTAAAATTTATATTTCTATTTAATTTGTAATATGCTTATTTCTTAGAAATTTGCAGCCTTATTTGCACATTTCTATTATACTTATTCAGTGAATTTTTAGGGTGAAACTATCCTACAATGACATTTTTAGCATATATATCTTTCTAGAGCTTGAAAAGTTTCAGCTTCATCTTCATCTGACTCAGTGTTGCAAATAATTAAATGTCTCAAGGTGTCAAAACTCATTTGTTCACAGTAAGATGTGGCTTGGTTATTCAGGGTCCTGAAAAGGGAAAGGCTAAAAGGGTTGGCAAATTGATTGTACCATGAAAAATGAAGAAACCGTGGTCTTAAATTGCTTATACTTAAAACTTTCTTGAAAAAATAAATCACAGCTTATTTGTACCTTACCATGCTTTATTACATATATGAAGATACACAATTATAATAGTGATATCTTGGGAAAATAATGCTTACTATTTGTTACATTTTCTGTTACAATACTGGTCCTTCAAATTATGTTGATTCAAACTTAAGCAATACAGAATGTTTTAATTAAGAGCTTGACCAATTCAATTTCTTAGTATTGAAATTACACAATTGGCATTATATTAAATGCTTAGAAGCAAACTATAATAAATGCCTCAATCTGTTTTGGCTGTTATAACAGAATGTCACATACTGAGTGATTTAAACAACAAATATTTATTTTTTAAAGTGCTGAAGGCTGGAAGTCTGAGATAAAGGTGCCAGTATGCGAGGGATTTTGGTGAAGTCCCTCTTCCTGGTTATGTCCTCTCATGGCCTTCCTAGGTGTAGGCACCCAGAGAGTGAAATCCTATGTTGCTTCGTCTTTTCATAAGACCATTCATTCCACCATGATGGTTCCACTTCATGATCTAGTCTAACCCTAATTACCTCCAAAAGGCCCTCTATCCAATAATATCACATTTAGGGTACAACATATGAATTTTGGGGGGCAGGGTGCAGACATTCTGTTCATAGCAGTATTTTAATAATCACTTAGATATAGACATGCCCAAATACAAATGTAGTGTTATCACTATTACAAAAAAAGAAAACAGTTTTTGCCTATAATAGGACAAAGAAGTAAATCTCTGAAAGCTAGAAAAAGATTGTACTTTACTTTTTGTAAATTTCACATCTTACATTTGTGTTTCTAAAATACGATATCAATACTAATTGATTGAAGTTTATCATTCCTTTTATGCTTAACTCAAAATAATAAAATATTATTACTTTATTTAAATAAAAATAATATTGCTTCAGATAAGTGAATGAATTGGGTTTTTTAGAGTTTAAACTAATATATTTTTAAACATATTAATATAAATATTCTATTTCATTTCACTAGCCAAAGTAGAATGGCATTACTTTTGTTCTTAAACTCAGTATACACACAATTAATCTTATAAAGACAGAATTTTTAAGCTATATGATGTGCTCTTGACCAATCTAAGCATAGGAGTTTGATATATTAGAATCAGAGAGTTTCTGCCCCTTTCGAGTTTTAAAAATTGAGATTTCAACCACTCAGAGAGCTTAATTACTATTACAAATAGATTGATGATAAAAAAGTAACCTACACAATGAGAACTAGAATTATAGATGTATTTGTTTATTGATCATCTTCAACATGCCAGACAATGTGTTAACTGCGTTAGAAATATAATTTGTAGTCCTCACAACTCCTCCAGTTAGGTATTATTCTTTTCATTATCAAAGTAATTAAGTAACTTAACTAAGTTGCACAACTAACGGTTGAATGATTATTCCAGGTTACATATATTGATAGTTGTAATTTTCTCTAATTTGGCCTTAAGATCTCTCTCTGGAGAGTGTCTATAAACTCTAGCTCTTTCCTGCTGGGACTCCAGGAGAAGTGATCGTGCATACCTACAGTGTGCCTTTCATGAGATACTTCTTTATTCTGAAGGAAGGCCTAGCACCTGAATGTCTAACACATGACCAGGTCGCCCTCTCACAGGAAGGAGACTATTTACACTGACAGACACTCCTTTGGCTCTTATTTAGTTTATTATATAAACCTGTGTTTAGTTTATTCTTGGCAAGATAGCTACTCTGTAGAAGAACTTTGACAGGGAAGAAAGTTAGGTTCTGGTGTGTTGGTTGAATGAGACACAAAGGAGAAAACAAAACCAAAACATATGAAATAACATAAGTAGTTTATTACTCATAGGTCCATGAGAAATGAGACATACCCATGGGTTGATGGGAAAATCAAAGAATCAATGTGCTCAATCAGCCAGTAGGGAGCCAGAAAAAAAGAAAGTTCCTATGGACCAAGGACTTTATTGGAGTCCAGAGCATTAGCCAAGCAGAATTTCTAAGGGGAGTTCTAATTGGTTGGTTTAGAGCAAACAGGTGCCAGTTCTGTGGAGTCATTTAGTGACTGAGAATGGCCACAGGAACATCTCTGCAGTTTGTGCAGGATTCGCGGTCAGTGAGTTGAGTTAAGTAGGTTGTATGTATATGTCCCATAGATGTCTATGGGACATATACATACAACAAGAAGATAGTCATCAAGAGGCAATTGTACAAGATAGATATGTAGATTAACCACAATAAAGAACTGGGAAGAAGTGGATAATTGAAAACTGTGTCAAGGGTGACTAAGCTCTCATTGGGGTATGACAAAGTTAAGCCTATATTCAAAATGAATGTTGTTTTAATCCTTTCTCACACTGCTTTAAAGACATATCTGAAATTTGGTAATTTATGAAGAAAAGAGGTTTAATTTGTTCATGGTTCTGTGGGTTGTACATGCTTTTGTTTCTGGGGAGGCCTCAGGAAACTTACAATCATGGCAGAAGGCAAAGGAGGAGCAAGTACATCATCACATGGCCTGCAGGAGGAAGAGAGAGTGAAGAGGGAGGTGCTGCACACTTTCAAACAACCAGATCTTGTGAGAACTCTATCACAAGGCAGCACTAGTTGGAGGGTGCTAAACCATTAGAAACCATGATCCAATCACCTCCCACCAGGCCCCACCTCCAGCACTGGGAATTACAATTGAACATGAGATTTGGGTGGGGACACAGAAGCAAATTATATCAGATGCTGAGGCAACATAAAATTATAGGAATTTACTACACTTAAATATAATAACTATTAATAACCATACATCCTACTATGCCCAGGAAGGCCTGATTCTTACCTGTTGTTCTAGAGAAATGTGAATAGAGCCTCATTTCATTATCAAAAATATATTGGTTGAGATGGTAAATTATATAATCTTTCTAAATACAGAAAATATGCAATAGGTTTCTATGTTAATGTCTAGTCAACAAGGGATTTACAAAAATAATTAATTATTATACTCTGTATTCTAGTAAGGTCTAATTACTTTTCTATCTTTCTTTGGGTGTCATTTTCTTATTACATCTGTGCAGGAATGCCATTCTGATGTATCAGGGAACTTATTACTGAAAGCATGATTGTTTATCATCTTGTTCACTGCATAGTTATTTAGGTGCTGCCAAATTGTCCATTGATTTTTAAGGAAGGCTTTGTAAATTGCAAACAGCCTGTTTGTATAATTTAACACCAAGTGTAAAATTCATCTCTCTGACTGTTTAACCAAGTGGCCTATTTTATAATTGTTACAGTTGTGCACTTTTTGGGTTTTTGCTTGTTTGAACTCACTGTCTATATCAGTTGCTCAAAGCTCTGCATGTAGGTGGGAGAGGAGGTGTGTTTTAAATTTCTCCTTGTAGTGTCACCTGAATAATAGATCTCTTATCGTATAGTTTTACATGTTTCTGAAAAACACCATGAACGATCATCCAGACACAGTCACTAAGGAGTTATACCTACTTGGTGCGGTTTATTACAGGTAAACATACATTTCTTGGAAGAAGCACTCTGAAGGTCAGTCTTCTAGGCCTTTGGCCTTAGACAAAATTTATATCTCCATTTTTTTTTAAGATCTATGGTTTATATAACTAATGGAAAAAGCAAAATTTAGAGTTTGAAGAATAGGTTCTGAGTTCCATAGATGTTAGTCAATGTGCTGGCAGTTCTTAGGAATACTTGGCCCCCTTAAACCTTTGAGTTCTTAAAAGTATATAAAGATATTAATGCATAATATATAATATCACCCAAGGGAAATATGAGACATTTTAACATTTATTTGAGTATCTTGACCATACTATTTACTCAGTAAAATGTAGCTGCTATGATATGATTACTATATTACGTACTAAGTTTTAAACTCCATTTGTAAATATCCAGGTTTGTAAACTTGTGAAAATCACACAAAAAAACTTGAAAAACTGAGCCACGTAAACTGGAAGGCAGGGCACATATCCAAACGTAACTCATTGTATATGTGAGAACATTGTACAGTATTCGAAGTAGTTATCAGTATTGTCTCTGAGTGGTTTCCAAACAAAAATATTCTTCTCATTTCCTTAAAAATAGACTACCAAATAAGTTTTATACAAGTAATGCCTTAAAAAATCATAGGTATCTACCCTCTAGTCTCTGGACAAACAGAAAGCTTCCTATACGAAAGAATATCCAAATCAATTTTTATTTATAGAGTGAAAACATGCAAAATTGTTTGTCTATAATAGTAAAGATAAAATTACTGTTAACTCTTATGGTAAAAGGGCCTGTGGTTTTCTAATTTAATATTTTAGGAAAAAAATCTGTTAATCTTCGGTAGGTGTTATGAATAAGGGTCATTTTGTTTCCTAAAAATCAAATAAATATAAGAAAGTACTTAATTTTAATATTAAGCTACATTAATTTAATTCTGAATGTATGTAATATGCCACTTTGACCTGCTGGATTTAAAAAGGAGCTTCAAGGTCTCTCAAACTTTCCCCCTCCCTCCTGTCTCTTAACCCTCTATTTTGCCCAAAGCACAGAATGAAGCTGTTCTCTGAAGTTCCCTGAACTGTCTGCAGTCTGGACTGCCAAAGAAGCAAACAACCAACTCTGGTCCCTTCCTTGAGTTTTCATTAACTGAACTCATATCACAGGAAGAAAGACCGAAAAGTCAGCCAAGACACCGGGACAGACTATTATAACAACACATCATCTACTGGCCAGGCGCGGTGGCTCACGCCTGTAATCCCAGCATTTTGGGAGGCCAAGGCGGGCGGATCACGAGGTCAGGAGATTGAGATCATCCTGGCTAACACGGCGAAAACCCGTCTCTATTAAAAATACAAAAAATTAGCCAGGTGTGGTGGTGGGCGCCTGTAGTCCCAGCTACTCTGGAGGCTGAGGCAGGAGAATGGCGTGAACCCGGGAGGCAGAGCTTGCAGTGAGCCGAGATCGCACCACTGCACTCCAGCCTGGGCGACAGAGCAAGACTCCGCAAAAAAATTAAAAAAATAAAATAAAATAAAATAAAACAAAATAAAATGAAATATTAAAATAAAAAATTAAAATAAAAATTAAAATACAATACAATACAATAAATACAACACAATACAATGCAATACAATACAATATTGAAATAAAAAATTTAAAATAAAATAAAATAAAAAATTAAAATAAAATAAAACAAATCATCTACTTTCTAGACCCAGCAGACATTGTCCTAGGTCATTGTACGTCCTCCAAGTCCATTCACTTTCCCCTAAAAAGTATTTACTATTCCTCAAATATCCACCTTTTCCCCACTCCCTTTCCCCTATGAAGAAAGGTATATAAACATCTGTACCCCATTGAGCTATGTGGTTATCATTCTCCTGTGCAATGCACATTAAAATAAAATTTAAATGCTTTTTCTCCTATTCATCCACCATTTGTCACTTGATTTTCAGTGAAGTTTTAGAGGGCATGTGAAAGGGGTTTTCCCTTAGTCCCTAAGTGATGCAGACTAACCACTGACTCTTGGGTCTGACAAATTCTTATTAGAGAGTTAATATATTGTACAAATTGCACCAACGTATATAAGAATAATCACAACTTTGCACTTTGCAGGGACATGATATGGAGCTGGAGGCCATTATACTTAACAAACTAACACAGAAAGAGAAAACCAAAAATGTCATGTTCTCACTTATAAGTGGGAGCTAAATGATGAGAACACATGGACACATAGAAGGGAACAACACATACTGGGGCCTATTGGAGGGTGGAAAGTGGGAGGAGGGAGAGGATCAGGAAAAATAACTAATGGATACTAAGTGTAATACCTGGTTAATGTAATAATCTGTGCAACAAAGGCCCATGACACACGTTTACGTATGTAACACACTTGCACCTCCTGCATATTTACCCCTGAACTTAAAATAAAATAACTGAAAAAAAAATCACAATCCATATTGTTTTGTTCAAATGAAAACTGGTTAAGTGCACATATATTGAGGTCCTTCCTATAGGATAATACTATAGTAAGCATATTTTGATAAATTATGACATACAGGATTTTGTGAAAACTATTTCTTTGTGCCTCTTATTTCTATCCTCTCTCAAATTGTTCACTAAAAATGAAGCTAGAAGCTGGAATAGAGACCTTTAATGTCATTATCCTAGAACTTCTTTTCCTTAGCCTTATCCTTGGAGTTGTAAAATGATATGAATCTCATATTTAACCTCCAAAAAGCTTTATTTTTGACCCCGCCCTCTTTTTGTTTGAGTCAAAGGCTGCCTGCACTTTATCTGCCCTGGTATTGTAAAACATTTTGCAGGGTCATTTTTAATTCTTCTTAAGGCAGCAGCATGCTTCAAATCAACATTGACTATTAGGGGTTGCTGATCTTTTTATGTCAGTTTACTAAAAATGTTAGAACTGGTGTCATTCTCAGTAAACTATCGCAAGAACAAAAAACCAAACACCGCATATTCTCACTCATAGGTGGGAATTGAACAATGAGATCACATGGACACAGGAAGGGGAATATCACACTCTGGGGACTGTGGTGGGGTGGGGAGAGGAATAGCATTGGGAGATATATCTAATGCTAGATGATGAGTTAGTGGGTGCAGCGCACCAGCATGGCACATGTATACATATGTAACTAACCTGCACAATGTGCACATGTACCTAAAACTTAAAGTATAATAAAAAAAATGTTAGAACTGATTTGTTATAAATCGAGTAAAATTAATCCTCTGTTAAGTGATTTTTTGCATGGTTATTCTTAACACTACTGGTTTTATTTCCAAAATTTAACTTGTAAAATTTCTCCTTAAGATTCATAAGCAGACAGCACCACGTTTGCATTTTAAATGTATGTAATATTGCTCAAACTAACCTTACACTACAAAGAAATGTATTTATAGTAATTTTCTTTTCCCTTTCCTCTCCCACATGATAATCAATATCTTTTTGCTTATCAAATCAGAAATATTAAGAAAAAGTCCTCTGATCTTATACCACTGGTGCTATACATTTTTCCTATTCCAAGCTCAAAGCTCAAACACACAGTTATTTTATCTTCCAATTCAATTCACATTGTATCCAGTCTGCAGGCCTCATGCAGCCTCTAAAAATTAGTAGTACAATTAGTAGTACAAAGATGTATCTATTTGTTATAGTTTTTGTTTGAAGTTCTCATTCACTTCTAAGTGGCATCTCTATATCATCCTCTTTCCCAGGGTTTATATCTTCATTTGGAACAGGATTGTACCCTCTGCTTTAGCACTCAGATGCCACCCTAGAGAGTTCAGTTTCTTGACATCCTTAGCCTACATTCTAAACCGTAGCCTATGAGCTTTATCAAGCATACCCTAAACCCTAGTTAAATTGTAAAGCAAGTTTAGAGTAGAGCATATTTTCTGACTAAAATATAATTAAATTAGAAATCAACTGCAAAAGTAATCACATAAAATATTTGAAAATTTAGCATCACATTTCTAAACAATGCATGAATCTAATAATAAGTCATAAAGGAAAATAATATTAAGCTGAAATGAGGTGAAAATACAACATTTAAAACTGGTGGAATGCAGAAATAATATTGCTTAGAAGATAATTTATACTGTTTTATAGTATTATTAGAGCTAACAAATTACATAAAATCAGTGGCCAGAAATTCCTGCTTAAAAACATTTAAAAAGAGAACAAAATTTTACGTAAAATAAACAGGAATAAAAATTATTTTTAAAAAGAAATCAGCAAAATAATAATAATGAAAAAACAGAAAACCGTGGAAAAAAATAATAAAACCGAAAGCTGGCCCAGCACAGTGACTCACGCGTGTAATCCCAGCACTTTGGGAGGCTGAGGCGGGTGGATCGCGAGATCAGGAGTTCGAGACCAGCCTGGCCAAAATGGTGAAACCCCGTCTCTACTAAAAATACAAATATTAGCTGGGCACAGTGGCGGGCGCCTGTACTCCCAGCTACTCAGAAGGCTGAGCCAGGAGAATCGTCTGAACCCAGGAGGTGGAGGTTCCAGTGAGCCAAGTTCGCACCACTGTACTCTAGCCTGAGCGACAGAGCAAGAATCCGTTTCAAACAAACAAACAAAAAAGCTTATGATTTAAAAATATTAGTGTTAAACATCTATCTAGGTTAATAAAACCATCCAACTATACAGAAATTAAACAGCATACTCCTGAATGACTTTTGGGTAAACAATGAAATTAAGGCCAAAATCAAGAAGTTCTTTGAAACAAATGAGAACAAAGATACAACATATCAGAATCTCTGGGACACAGCTAAGGCAGTGATAAGTGGGAAATTTATAGCATTAAATGCTCACATCAAAGAGTTAGAAATATCTCAAATTAACAACCTAACATCACAACCGAAAGAATTGGAGAAGCATGGCTTTTATCAAAAAGACAACAAGATAATGAAAGTGAAGAAATGTGGAGCAAGGGCAACCCTCATACTCTCTTGCAGGGAAGGCAACTTAATACAACCACTGTGAAAAACAGTATGAAGGTATCTTAATAAACAAAAAAATTGAACTACCGTATGACCCAGAAATCCCATGGCTATATATATATCC